>NC_000014.9:73702622-73854137 GCF_000001405.40 Homo sapiens
TACGCAAGGTAAAAGTTAGCTGATAGGCCCTGAATTGAGAAAAAGGAATCACCAAGCAATATCCGTAACATTACACATTTTGCCAGCACATTTTCTATGCTATCAGCTAAAACGTAATTTTGGTCACAAAATAGGGCTGTAGTGTAGTTTCTACTTCTTATTCCAGTTGTTTGATTATGAGGATACATTTCTTGCTGCTGTCCTCCACTAAACAGCAGACAAATTGCCAGGTGTGCTGGCTCATGCCTGTAATCCCAGTGCTTTGGGAGGCCAAGGCAGGAGTTTGAGACCAGCCTAGGCAACATCGTGAGACCCCATCTCTACAAAAAAAAAAAAAGAAAAAAAAAATTAGTTGGGCATGGCAATGCCGCCTGTGGTCCTAGCTACTGGGGAGGCTGAGGCAGGATTGCTTGAACCCAGAAGTTTGAGGTTACAGTGAGCTATGATCATGTCACTGCAAGACCCTGTCCCTAAAAAAAGGAAAAACAAATAGAAGACAAATTTCAATTTCTGAGTTTATACAAAGAAAGCCTTAATTCAGATCATAAATATCCCATTGTTATTTTTAGTTCATTGTTTCCTAGAACAAAGGATGGACATTTAGGATCCTCACATTGATTTATGTCATATATATGTATTGCATTGAATATATATATACGCATGTAGATACATACAATTGTTATATATAATTAAAAGTCAGAATCTTAGGTGATAACTGTCAGACCTCTGAGCCCAAGCTAAGCCATCGCATCCCCTGTGACTTGCACGTATACATCCAGATGGCCTGAAGTAACTGAAGATCCACAAAAGAAGTAAAAATAGCCTTAACTGATGACATTCCACCATTGTGATTTGTTCCTGCCCCACCCTAACTGATCAATGTACTTTGTAATCTCCCCCACCCTTAAGAAGGTTCTTTTTAATTCTCCCCACCCTTGAGAATGTACTTTGTGAGCTCCACCCACTGTCTGCAAAACATTGCTCTTAACTTCAGCGCCTATCCCAAAACCTATAAGAACTGATGATAATCCACCACCCTTTGCTGACTCTCTTTTCGGACTCAGCCCGCCTGCACCCAGGTGAAATAAACAGCCATGTTACTCACACAAAGCCTGTTTGGTGGTCTCTTCACACGGACGTGCATGAAATTTGGTGCCGTGACTCGGATCGGGGGACCTCCCTTGGGAGATCAATCCCCCGTCCTCCTGCTCTTTGCTCTGTGAGAAAGATCCACCTACGACCTCAGGTCCTCAGACTGACCAGCCCAAGAAACATCTCACCAATTTGAAATCCGGTAAGCAGCCTCTTTTTACTCTCTTCTGCAACCTCCCTCACTATCCCTCAACCTCTTTCTCCTTTCAATCTTGGCACCACATTTCAATCTCTCCCTTCTCTTAATTTCAATTCCTTTCATTTTCTGGTAGAGACAAAGGGGACACGTTTTATCCGTGGACCCAAAACTCCGGCGCCGGTCACGGACTGGGAAGGCAGCCTTCCCTTGGTGTTTAATCATTGCAAGGATGCCTCTCTGATTATTCACCCACGTTTCAAGGGTGTCAGACCACACAGGGACGCCTGCCTTGGTCCTTCACCCTTAGCGGCAAGTCCCGCTTTTCTGGGGAAGGGGCAAGTACCCCAACCCCTTCTCTCCTTGTCTCTATCCCTTCTCTGCTTTTCTGGGGAAGGGGCAAGTACCCCAACCCCTTCTCTCCGTGTCTCTACCCCTTCTCTCCGTGTCTCTACCCCTTCTCTGCCTTTCTGGGGGAGGGGCAAGTACCCCTCAACCCCTTCTTCACCCTTAGCGGCAAGTCCCGCTTTTCTAGGGGGCAAGAACCCCCAATTCCTTATTTCCACACCCCGACCTCTTATCTCTGTGCCCCAATTCCTTATTTCTGCACCCTGACCTCTTATCTCTGTGCCCCAATCCCTTATTTCTGCACCCCGACCTCTCAACTCTGTGCCCCAATCCCTTATTTCTGCACCCCAACCTCTTATCTCTGTGCCCCAATCCCTTATTTCCGTGCCCTGACCCCCCTTCCCGCTTTTCTGGAGGGTAAGAACCCCCGAAACCCTTCCCTCCATGTCTCTACATTCTCTTTTCTCTAGGTTTGCCTCCTTCACTATGGGCAACCTTCCACCCTCCATTCCTCCTTCTTCTCCCTTAGCCTGTGTTCTCAAGAACTTAAAACCTCTTCAACTCACACCTGACCTAAAACCTAAATGCCTTATTTTCTTCTGCAATGCCGCTTGACCCCAATACAAACTCGACAGTAGCTCCAAATAGCCAGAAAACGGCACTTTGAATTTTTCCATCCTGCAAGATCTAAATAATTCTTGTCGTAAAATAGGCAAACGGTCTGAGTTGCCTGACGTCCAGGCATTCTTTTACACATCAGTCCCTTCCTAGTCTTTGTCCCCAATGCAACTCGTCCCAAATCTTCCTTCTTTCCCTTCCGCCTGTCCCCTCAGTCCCAACCCCAAGCGTCGCTGAGTCTTTCTAATCTTCCTTTTCTACAGACCCATCTGACCTTTCCCCTCCTCCCCAGGCTGCTCCTCGCCAGGCCGAGCTAGGTCCCAATTCTTCCTCAGCCTCTGCTCCTCCACCCTATAATCCTTTTATCACCTCGCCTCCTCACACCTGGTCCAGCTTACAGTTTCGTTCCGTGACTAGCCCTCCCCCACCTGCCCAGCAATTTACTCTTAAAAAGGTGGCTGAAGCTAAAGGCATAGTCAAGGTTAATGCTCCTTTTTCTTTATCCCAAATCAGAAGCATTTAGGCTCTTTTTCATCAAATATAAAAACCCAGCCCAGTTCATGGCTCGTTTGGCAGCAACCCTGAGACGCTTTACAGCCCTAGACCCTAAAAGGTCAAAAGGCCGTCTTATTCTCAATATACATTTTACTACCCAATCTGCTCCCGACATTAAATAAAACTCCAAAAATTGGAATCTGGCCCTCAAACCCCACAACAGGACTTAATTAACCTCACCTTCAAGGTGTACAATAACAGAAAAAAGTTGCAATTCCTTGCCTCCACTGTGAGACAAACCCCAGCCACATCTCCAGCACACAAGAACGTCCAAACGCCTGAACCACAGCAGCCAGGGGTTCCTCCAGAACCTCCTCCCCCAGGAGCTTGCTACACGTGCCGGAAATCTGGCCACTGGGCCAAGGAATGCCCGCAGCCCGGGATTCCTCCTAAGCTGCGTCCCATCTGTGTGGGACCCCACTGAAAATCCGACTGTTCAACTCACCTGGCAGCCACTCCCAGAGCCCCTGGAACTCTGGCCCAAGGCTCTCTGACTGACTCCTTCCCAGATCTTCTCGGCTTAGCAGCTGAAGACTGACACTGCCCGATTGCCTCGGAAGCCCCCTAAACCATCACGGATGCCGAGCTTCAGGTAACTCTCACGGTAGAAGGTAGTAAGCGCGTCCCCTTCTTAATCAATACGGAGGCTACCCACTCCACATTACCTTCTTTTCAAAGGCCTGTTTCCCTTGCCTCCATAACTGTTGTAAGTATTGACGGCCAGGCTTCTAAACCTCTTAAAACTCCCCAACTCTGGTGCCAACTTAGACAATACTCTTTTAAGCACTCCTTTTTAGTTATCCCCACCTGCCCAGTTCCCTTATTAGGCTGAGACACTTTAACTAAATTATCTGCTTCCCTGACTATTCCTGGACTACAGCCACATCTCATTGCCGCCCTTCTTCCCAATCCAAAGCCTCCTTTGCGTCCTCCTCTTGTATCCCCCTACCTTAACCCACAAGTATAAGATACCTCTACTCCCTCCTTGGTGACCGATCATGTACCCCTTACCGTCTCATTAAAACCTAATCACCCTTACCCCACTCAATGTCAAGATCCCATCCCACAGCACGCTTTAAAAGGATTAAAGCCTGTTATCACTCGCCTGCTACAGCATGGCCTTTTAAAGCCTATGAACTCTTCTTACCATTCCCCCATTTTACCTGTCCTAAAACCAGACAAGCCTTACAAGTTAGTTCAGAATCTGCGCCTTATCAACCAAATTGTTCTGCCTATCCACCCGGTGGTGCCAAACCCATACTCGATACCTCCCTCTACTACCCATTATTCTGTTCTAGATCTCAAACATGCTTTCTTTACTATTCCTTTGCACCCTTCATCCCAGCCTCTCTTTGCTTTCACTTAGACTGACCCTGACACCCATTAGGCTCAGCAAATTACCTCGGCTGTACTGCCGCAAGGCTTCACAGACAGCCCCCATTACTTCAGTCAAGCCCAAATTTCATCCTCATCTGTTACCTATCTCAGCATAATTCTCATAAAAATACACGTGCTCTCCCTGCTGATCGTGTCTGATTAATCTCCCAAACCTCAGTCCCTTACAAAATAACAACTCCTTTCCTTCCTAGGCATGGTTAGTGCAGTCAGAATTCCTACACAAGAGCCAGGACAGGACTGCACCCTGTAGCCTTTCTGTCCAAACAACTTGACCTTACTGTTTTAGCCTAGCCCTCATGTCTGTGTGCAGCGGCTGCCGCTGCTTTAATACTGTTAGAGGCCCTAAAAATCGCAAACTATGCTCAACTCACTCTCTACATTTCTCATAACTTCCAAAATCTATTTTCTTCCTCATACCTGACGCATATACTTTCTGCTCCCCAGCTCCTTCAGCTGTACTCACTCTTTGTTAAGTCCCACAATTACCATTGTTCCTGGCCCGGACTTCAATCTGGCCTCCCACATTATTCCTGATACCACACCTGACCCCCATGACTGTATCTCTCTGATCCACCTGATATTCACCCCATTTCCCCATATTTCCTTCTTTCCTATTCCTCACCCTGATCACGCTTGATTTATTGATGGCAGTTCCACCAGGCCTAATCGCCACACACCAGCAAAGGCAGGCTATGCTATAGTACAAGTCACTAGCCCGCCTCTCAGAACCTCTCATTTCCTTTCCATCGTGGAAATCTATCCTCAAGGAAATAACTTCTCAGTGTTCCATCTGCTATTCTACTACTCCTCAGGGATTATTCAGGCCCCCTCCCTTCCCTACACATCAAGCTCAAGGATTTGCCCCCACCCAGGACTGGCAAATTAGCTTTACTCAACATGTCCCGAGTCAGGAAACTAAAATACCTCTTAGTCTAAATAGACACTTTCACTGAATAAGTAAAGGCCTTTCCTACAGGGTCTGAGAAGGCCACCACAGTCATTTCTTCCCTTCTGTCAGACATAATTCCTCAGTTTAGCCTTCCCACCTCAATACAGTCTAATAACAGACCATCCTTTACTAGTCAAATCAGCCAAGCAGCTTTTCAGGCTCTTAGTATTCAGTGAAACCTTTATATCCCTTACGGTCCTCCATCTTCAAGAAAAGGAGAACGGACTAAAGGTCTTTTAAAAACACACCTCACCAAGCTCAGCCACCAACTTAAAAAGGACTGGACAATACTTTCACCACTTTCGTTTCTCAGAATTCAGGCCTGTCCTCAGAATGCTACAAGGTACAGCCCATTTAAGCTCCTGTATAGACGCTCCTTTTTATTAGGCCCCAGTCCCATTCGACACCAGACCAACTTAGACTGTGCCCCAAAAAAACTTGTCATCCCTACTATCTTTTGTCTAGTCATACTCCTATTCACCATTCTCAACTACTCATACATGCCCTGCTCTTGTTTACACTGCTGGTTTATACTGTTTCTCCAAGCCATCACAGCTGATATCTCCTGGTGCTATCCCCAAACTGCCACTCTAAACTCTTGAAGTAAATAAATAATCTTTGCCGGCAGGACTATGCTGAATCTCCTTAGGCACTCTCTAATCAGATGTCCTAGGTCCTCCCAATTCTTAGACCTTTTATACCTGTTTTTCTCCTTCTCTTATTCCATTTAGTTTCTCAATTCATCCAAAACCATATGCAGTCCATCACCAATCATTCTATACGACAAATGTTTCTTCTAACATCCCCACAATATCACCCCTTACCACAAGACCTCCCTTCAGCTTAATCTCTCCCACTCTAGGTTCCCACGCCGCCCCTAATCCCGCTTGAAGCAGCCCTGAGAAACATCGCCCATTCTCTCTCCATTCCACCCCCCAAAAATTTTCGCCGCCCCAACACTTCAACACTATTTTGTTTTATTTTTCTTATTATAAGAAGGCAGGAATGTCAGGCCTCTGAGCCCAAGCCAAGCCATCGCATCCCCTGTGACTTGCACGTATACATCCAGATGGCCTGAAGTAACTGAAGATCCACAAAAGAAATAAAAATAGCCTTAACTGATGACATTCCATCATTGTGATTTGTTCCTGCCCCACCCTAACTGATCAATGTACTTTGTAATCTCCCCCACCCTTAAGAAGGTTATTTGTAATTCTCCCCACCCTTGAGAATGTACTTTGTGAGATCCACCCCTGCCCGCAAAACATTGCTCTTAACTTCAGCGCCTATCCCAAAATCTATAAGAACTAATGATAATCCACCACCCTTTGCTGACTCTCTTTTCGGACTCAGCCCGCCTGCACCCAGGTGAAATAAACAGCCACGTTACTCACACAAAGCCTGTTTGGTGCTCTCTTCACACGGACGTGCATGAAAATAACTTCCCTCCTAAGAATGCAGCCAACTCTGCATCTATGAAAAGAAGGTCTATCCCCCCATGTTTAAACTGTAGAAGGATGTCCATAACATATTGGGCCAAAAAAAAAAAAACCCCAAGCATACACCAAAAAAACAAAACAAACAACCCCCCCGCCCCCCCCGAATAATCCTTATATACCTAGTTTGTTTTTTTGGTGCATCTGTGTGCGTGGTTTTTTGTTTTGTTTTGTTTTTTTCGAGACAGGGTCTTGTTCCGTCACCCCAGGTTGGAGTGCGGTGGCATGTTCATAGATCACTGCAACCTTGAACTCCTGGGCTCAAGCAATCCTCCTGCATCAGCCTCCTAAATAGCCTGGCTAATTTTTAAATTTACTTATTTTTGTGGAGACAAGGTCTTGGTATTTTGCTCAGGCTGGTCTTGAACTCCTGTCCTTAAGTGATCCTCCCACCTCAGCATCCCAAAGTGCTGGGATTACAGGTGTGAGCCACTACAACGGGCCCATTTTTAAAAATGTAGTATGTGGGCCAGTTGTGGTGGCTTACGCCTGTAATCCCAGCATTTTTGGAGTACTTTCAAACCACGAGGTCAGGAGTTTGAGACCAGCCCGGCCAACATGGTGAAACCTTGTCTCTACTAAAAATACAAAAATTAGCCGGGCGTAGTGGCACACACCTGTAATCCCAGCTACTTGGGAGGCTGAGGCAGGAGGATCACTTGAGCCCAACAGACAGAGGTTGCAGTGAGCTGAGATTACGCTACTGCACTCCAGCCTGGGCAACACAGCGAGACTCCGTCTCAAAAAAAAAAATGCAGTATGTGTGTATATGTGTGGAGTGGGAGTGTGTATACATATGTGGTGGCTGGTTGGTGTTTGGTGGTGGGAGTGTGTGTGGGTGTGAGGAGAAATGGGAATATATGTTGGGGGTGGGAGACTGACATCGTGTACATGTGGAGCAGGAGGAGGGTGTATGTTATGATGGGAGTACTGACGGGGAGATGACAGTGTGTCAAGAGTGTAAGAGGGGTGAGTGTGCACCTGATGCTGGTGGGAATGGAGGGGAAAGTTCTGTGAATGATGGGTAGCAGGTGAAGACATGCCAAGTGTTTGTGGTAAGTGAAGCTGAGCATATCTGTTGGGAACCAAGGCAAGTATGTGGAGATGTTTTTGTGACAGGAGGAAAGGGATGTACTGACATGAAGCGAATACGTGTACCGAAAAATCTGGAAGAACATACATTACCCCTTATAGACTTGTCGAATGGCTCAGCTATAATTTTAAAACCTTATTAGGGAAAGGCTCACTGAACACAATATTCATGTAATAACTTTAGATTCACTGAGGATCTCAAAAGATGGACATCTTCAATCACTGAATCTTTGCAGCAAAATAAACATGTTTTAAAGTTGTATTTCCCTTTTTATATCGTCCTGCTATAAAATGGTTGCTGTAAAATAGCCTTCATTTTACACAGGTGTGATGAATTATAGCTATTTCTTCAGTGAAACAAAATGTTTAGCTGAAAAGTGATCTTAAGAGAAAAACACTGCCAGATAACCTCCTGAACCCCATTTCAAGATTTTCTAAAAAAAAATTTTTTGAGAAACAGGGTCTCACTCTATCACCAGGCTGGAGTGCGGTGGGACGATCATGGCTTACTGCAGCCTCAACCTGCTGAGCTCAAGCGATGTCCCACCTTAGCCGCTGGGTGGCCACCTTAGTGCTGGGACCACAGGCGTGTGCCACCATGCCTGGCTAATTTTTAAAAGTTTGGGTGGAGATTGGGTCTATGTTGCCCAAGCTGGTCTCAAAATCTTGGCTTCAGGCAATCCTCCCTAAGTGCTGGGATTACAAGTGTGAGCCAAATCTGGTATCTAAATTTTTTTTTTTTTTTTTTTGAGATGGAGTCTCACTCTGTTGCCCAGGCTGCAGTGCAATGGCGCAATCTCGGCTCACTGCAACTTCCGCCTCCCAAAGCGATTCTCCTGACTCAGCTTCCCAAGTAGCGGGAATTACAGGCACGCACCACCACACCCGGCTAATTTTTGTATTTTTAGTAGAGACGGCGAGGTGGCTCACGCCTGTAATCCCAGCACTTTGGGAGGCCGAGGTGGGTGGATCACTTGAGGTGAGGAGTTCCAGACCAGCCTGACCAACATGGTGAAACCCGTCTCTACTAAAAAAATACAAAATTAGCTAGGCGTGGTGGCGCATGTCTGTAATCCCAGCTACTCAGGAGGCTGAAGCAGGAGAATCACTTGAACCCGGGAGGCAGAGGTTGCAGTGAGCCGAGATCGCTCCATTGCACTCCAGGCTGGGCAACAGAGCAAGACCCTCTCTGCCCGATAAAAATAAAAAATTTTAAAAATTAAAAAACAAAACAAAAAACTGTTAAGATGACAGCAAGAGGGGAAGGAAAAAAAGGACCTGCCATTTAAATTCACATAGTATCATACAAAGCTTAAAATAAATGGTTTGATTTAATGACAAAGTCTTCATAAGAAAAAAGGACAGTTTACTTAGGCTAAAAATGTTTATACATGCCAGAAAAATGAGAAGACAACAGAATTTTTAAAATATTTTAATTTGTATATATAACTTCAAATTTAGAACACTCAGTATGAACAAGAACTATTCTCTGACAAAGATGTGAAATGGGGGAGTGAATTACTGTACAGGTGCATATCAACCTCTCCATGCAATTTACATCTGTATCTTATGCAATGAGAAACTGGTTTACACAGCTCCGTAACTGCAGTATTTTTTAACACCCCATTTTGCAGTCTCAGAATACTTTTCAATTAAACTGGTCGACATGTTTAAAGATGAGAAATAAGATGTTTGCATTGTAAAGTTGAGTAATAGCTAATAAATGCACACTTCCTTCCATTAATATAAATCTGGAACAATTTATGGTAAACAAAAATCTATCCGCGTTATCAGTAATCTAACAGTGCATACTTTTACTGAACACTTCCTGTGAGCCAGGCCTCGTAGTAAACATCTGAACATGCAATTTCACATTCAGTGTGGAATAAGAAGTGTCATAGGTTCGCGTGTTTTTCACAACTGATTATGATGTCCATGATGACAGCGTGCACTAAGCGCTGTGTCCAACCAACCCTTTACCTGGCATTTTAGCCAGCAAGACCCGCTTGCATTGCAGTCGTTCACGGTGCTCGCTGGCACAATTTTAGAATGTTACATGAATACTCAGGCCTGACTAACCTTCCCCTCCAAAAAACAACAAAACAGAACAAGGCTAAGCCTTTACTACTCAGAGACACATCTGTAAGACCCCACAGGGACAAGAAAAGTAGCTGTGATCTAGGTCTGCACTAAAGCTGCCTTTCCTGGCACTCAGAAGTGCCCTTCCAGGCCTAACTGCAGAAGGGTGGCCTCAGCCTCCTCCTCCTCCTCCTTGGCTTCCTCCTCACGGATCTGCACCAGCAACTGAAAGAGGTTTGGGGCTGGCCCTTCCCCAGCCCCGGTAAGCCACAGCTGCCTTCGGATGGCCCCGCTGTGGTTGGCCCCGGCAATGACCTGCTCTAGGCGGGCCTGGTTCACATTATCTTTATCAATGGCCCCCTTCTCTACCACCTTCTGTAGCAGAGGCTCCAGACGAATGACATAAGCAGACAATTTTTCTCCCGGGTTCTGATAAGTGTTCAGAAATTTGATCTGGGCATCCCTAGAGCTCTCAACGCTCCCAAACACCTGCTCAAGCGCCTTCAGGCATTCGGCAGTGGTTATCGCGGGGTTGTTGGACTTAAGGATGCGAATAACATCAGCGGCGGGGCCTCTAAGACTCTCCATCAACCGCCGCCTCTTTTCTACATCGGACACCTGCCACTCCTCTAGGACCTCATTAGTGTGCTCCAGCCAGGGATCAAAGGTTTCCTCTCCAGGCCCTGGGATGTCCCTCCCCGAGAAAAGTGTCAGCCTCTTGTACCATATGGACTCAACAAGAGGCTGAATAACATTATCCAAAATATAGTTTAGCATCTCTGCTGGCATCTCTGGGCCCGGGGTCGGAGTAGGGTTCTGAAACCCAAGGACACGGGCAACATCTTGCACGGTCCACCCCTCTCTAGCTAGGAAGAGGTGCAATCTTTCTAAAAATTCAGCATCAGAAGTTGGGGGCTTAAATAACACTTTCCAGACCCCTCCTTTGCCCGGCATCTCCCTGGGGATCGCGGCGTAATCTACAGCGCCAGTGAGCTCTAATAAGGCTGCTTTCGCATTTTCTTCCCTCCAGAACATTCTCCCAAGCATTCGGTAGGAGACCTGGGGCATCGCAGCCTGGAGGGTCTCTTCGATTTCAGCCTCATCACAGTTCACTGGGATGCCCCAGACTAACAGAGCTCTCTGGGAGTTCACATCCATCCCCCGGCACCAGTCTTCCAACAGTGTCATCGCCATTTTCTCAACTATCAAGACGCCAAATTCTACCAACAGACTGTGGCTCACCGTGCTCCTGGCCTTAGAACAATACCAGACACTCCCACCAAGTAGGCCCGAGGGAGGCGACCTTCATGCAGTCACGATTAACAAAGACAGAGTCCTGATCTCGCCCTTCTCTGCCCCCACAGTCAGTCCGTAGGTGCACTCGGAGCCGAGCTCGGGGACGCTGAGGCAGTCACGCGGCCGTCGCCATCTTGCGTCTGGGTCTGGGTCCGGTCGGGTCCGCCGCCTGCAGCAGGGGCGTCGCGTCGTCGTGCAGCGGGCGAGGAGCGACGGCGGGCGGCGAAGGCAGGCGCGCTGGGCCGAGAGCCGCCGGGGTGTGGTCGCGGGGCGTGGCCGCCGGGCGCTCGCTGCGGCTCCTGGAGAGGATCGGGCGTTCGCGGTCGCAGCCTGGTCTTCCCGCGGGCGAGGAGCGGCCGTTTGGGAGACTAGCCAGAGGGAGAAACTGTGCCGAAGTCGCGGCGGCTGCGGGCCAGCGGAAAGCGGCTTCTTGGCGGGCGCGGGGACTCCTCTGGGCGGGCGGCGAGGACGGCCGAGGACCAGAAACGAAGGCAGCAGAGGAGCAGGAAAGTCGGAGAAGCGAGGCTGGAGACAGCAGAGGCGAGGGTGGGAAGGGGCGGCCGCGGCGGCCCGCAGCGGTTCAGGCGCTGCGCGGCTGCTCTGGCGTCCAGTCCTACCCGCAACCCGCCGCGACGTTACTGCTGCAGTGGAGGATGGGGCCAGCCGGCGAGCGGCGTCCGCCCCGCCCCGCCCCGTCCCGCCCCCGCGGCGGAGCTGCTCGGGCGTCTCCATGGCAACGGTGTCCCAGCCGGCGCGAGGCACGCCTGCTCCGGCGGCTCGCGGGGGTCGAGCGGTTGCCGTGGAGCCAGCGAGGGGCTCGGGCATTTGTTTCTCTGATGGCGCATTTCCTTTTTCATAATTTAGCATTTTAACAGTAAACAACTACTACTAAGCACCGTGTTTTAAAAATAATAACCCAATCCTGGAGTGGATTTAAGATGATATTGTTGGAAATGCATCCCTCATGGTGGACTTGTCTACTCGGGTTGCTCAGCCAGTCCACCCTGCACGTGAAAATACTCTCCTCAGAACCCTGGCTTCCCGTTGCCCCTGACCACACTGTGCACCCTGCATATTTCATCCCAATGAAGCCAAAATGTCGGAGTGCGCCATTTCTGTGTATTTGTGTGAGACACTGAGTTTAGACTTTTTCTTGTCTAAAATTTTGTAAAAATCTGTCTGTGTCTACTGAGTCATCTTTTAGCCAGGCAAACATTAGTGTATTATTTTCCTTTTCCTGGCTGGCATCATTGACAATAGGCTGCTAAAAGAGAATCCTTATGGTTCAAAAATGTCGAGTAATCTCCCTGCAAGCAAGACAAGGCGCACTTACATCAACCCCAGATGGTGAAAATCCCAAGAGAACAAAGCATTCAACTCTGAATTTTTAAAACCTTATTTAATAAAAGGTTTAAAGATACAGAAGAACATTCAAAAGTAAATAAGTTACATAGGTACATTACAATCACATCAGCAAGATTCTTTAGTGTATTAATTTTTTTCTTATAAAAAGCACACAAAAAATAAAATCTTCAGTCTCTATCACAACTGTACAGCAAAAGAGGTAATATTTATATATGTACACTATTTTAATATGTAACAGTCTTTTTAAAAAAGGATGCCACAGGCAGCAAACACACAAAAGGCAGTGTCTGATCATTTTTGTTTCAAAATAAAAGGAATATACTTATTTATATGCTATTAAAATATCTGTACAATAATTACAGACTGTCAAGGCTGTTCCTGTGCTCTGTCCCCTCCAACAAAGCCTTCAACTTAGAGACAAATGAGGAAAAAGTGAAACAGCTGCAAATTGTTAGAAGCAAATATTAACATAGCAAAATGTGGGGAGGACACAATTGTTTTATAAAAATATCCCTACTTCCTGTAAACCTATGGAGTTAGGCTTGCCAGTCTGATAATAAATACCGTCCCAGAAAAGCGAGCCCCAGTGAAAACAACTAAACAGGCTGAGGCTTGAGTATGTGTTGTATTCCTCCTTCATCTTAACATCTGGCACATGAGAAGAAAGAGGTTAGGTCACTGAGGCAGTTAAATATAGGTGATCCCTTTAGACATAAGCAGCAGAAGACCTTGGTGCCAGGGGTGGAGGCGCGGCAGAAGGGGTGGTATGTACCTTAGCTGTGAGGGGGGCTGCTGAAGGCATGGAGGACAGTAATGACGGCTGTGCCTCCTTGGATGGTGGAGACCTCAGAAATGGTCTGCAACACAGGCACTAGGTCAGTTTCCCGCCCTTAGCTGAATGCAGATGGATGCTGGGAGATGGATATGGTGAGATGGTGTGGGGAGGATGTTAGAAAGCTGGAGGTGTTTATCACTTCTCAAGGAGCTCTGAATATAGGGGGAAAAAAACAACAAAAAGACAAGCCCAGGGAGAAAGCACCATTAAGGATATACCTATGCCAGCTTCTATAGCTGCACCTGCTTTATTGGCAGGTCACTTGCCACAATTGCATCTGCCCTCTAAACTTTTTAATTTTCACACTGTATCCTAGACATGAATGCATAAAATACAGTGTCTGGCGGGATAATGCAGAGAGGTACCATCTTGATTTTCCCCAGTTACATTCACCTGGTCTGGTCTCTGTAAGCTTAGAAGAGTAGAATCACTTTATTTTTTAAAGACTTCCGGCCAGGCACGGTGGTTCACGCCTGTAATGCCAGCACTTTGGGAGGCCGAGGCGGGTGGACCACCTGAGGTCAGGAGTTCAAGACCAGCCTGGCCGACATGGCGAAACCCTGTCTCTACTAAAAAAAAAAATACAAAAAGATTAGCTGGGTGTGGTGGTGTGTGCCTATAATCCCAGCTACTCAGGAGGCTGAGGCAGGAGAATTCTTTTAACCCAAGAGGCGGAGGTTGCAGTGAGCCAAGATCACACCACTGCACTCCAGCCTGGGCGACAGAATGAGACTCTGTCTCAAAAAAAAAAAAAAAAAAAAAAAAAAATTTTTTTTCCAAGTACAAGATGTTACCACTGACAAAAGGGTCTCATATGAATGATGGAGGTTTCTGTTACCGTATGCCCATAAAGGGGCCTGAAACCAAATATGATTTGAATAGAAAAGACCTTGGGAAACATAAGTAGCACTTTGGGGCTAAGCTGCGAAGGCACTCGTATTGTACAAGTAATTTCGAAGAGAGCCTAAATTTGCTACCCCCCTGCTTCTACAGGGTATACCAGATTTTTGCTGTCTTGGGACACTGAGCTCATGGAAGCCTGTGGAGGAAACTAACCGGTAAGCTGGGGATCTAGGTAGTCATCCAAGAGTCTGGAGGGAGAAGAAATTTGTTACTTCCACAGCTGGGGTCCTGTAGAACCATACTAATGTACAAATGGATGCTGAAAAATACCTGCATAGTTTCAAAACAAAACTCCCTCTCCACTCCCAGTTACTGACATGATGCTTCTTGGCTATCTCATAAGGAGTAGCAGTATGAATACTTTCTGGCTCCTTCCTAATACGTTGACCTGTCATACGCGCATTCACTTAGAATTTCTTTTGCACAACTAAAGTTGAATAAGATCAGAAAAATAGCTGAGCCCCGCTATGGGACTGGAAGTGAAGGGGCCTCCAGAACCTCCTGGCCCTTTCACTTCACCCATGCCAAATATGGCTTCTTCAAGCCAGAATCCAGGCCCCATAAACCAAACTAGAATTCTGGCCTCTTGCCAACTCTTCCCTCAGGCAAAGCACAGCCAGAGAAGGGGCAGCAAGAACTGCCTTAATCTCCCTTGCTCTGTGTGGGTCTGGTGACACCCTCCACCTTCCCACGCTCTTTCAGTGTTGCTATCATTCCTATCAGCAAGAGCTTCCAGAGCAACCAGGTGAGGGACCTTAGGGCCTTGGGAATTTAGGGGGTGGGGATAGGGGATGTCAAGATGCCTCGTTTTGGGATAAATGCACTCGGGCCTCTGAAAAGCAGGAGGCCCCTGGTCCCTGAGAGGATGTTAAAAATTAAATACTAAGAATAAATAAATAGCTCCCAAATGACACGAGTCAAGGAATGAAGGCTCCTGTCCAATCGAGTTAGGAGACCTCTCCCTCCCAGGGAAGGATCCAGAAATCTCCAAAGTGCAGGCCTGGGGGCTGGGTTGTGGATATCGACACTGGGTAGGGTGCGGTGGGGTTAGGTGTAGCTGCTGAGGTCAGAGCAGAGGCAAGGAGGCTGGCCCCAGGAGGGGCAGGCTGAGCCTCTCCGGGACCTGCTCAAGGCGAAGCGCCCTTGGCAGCCTCCAGGACCCAAAGGTATTCAGCCAAAAAGGTGGGAAGCAGGAAGAGCCAGGCTTGTCAAAAGCTCTCTCGGGCCTAACCCTGCAGCTTCCAGCCTCCGTACAGCTCCCTTCCCTGCAGCAGGATGAGTGCTTTGGACAAGAACGCTAGCCCCTCCCCCAACGCTGAGAAAACTTTCTAGCCCTAGCAAGGCCGCCAGCAAGCAGCAAAGGGAGAGTACCTGCCGCGGCCTCCCTCCCAAGGAGGAGGTGGCCACTCAGGACACGGTCACGGGAGCAGCTCAGACAGGCCTAGAGACTGCAGGGACAGCACAGGTGTCAGGCTGCGCCCCTTCTCAGAGAAGCCCGCAGACTCCCTCCAAGAGTTTCTTTTTCTGGGGCTTGGGGCAGGGCCGTTGCAGCCTTCGAGGTCCTCTGGGGAGGAGAAATGCTGCTCCAAAGTGGGTGAGCTTGTGCTTGGCCGGCCACGGTGGCTTCCTGGAGGCCGAGGGGAGGAGGGGGAAGCAAATAAAGGGAAAAGACTGCGGGGCAGCAGAGCAGCAGAAATCGGAGTGTGAGAGGCGGTGGAGTCCCTCCCGAGGGGACCGGGACTCTCCCGGTCCAGGAAAGCACGAGGACAGCTTCCGACAGACCAAATGCAAAGAGAGCTGGATCCTGGAGCCCTTAACGCTGCTCCCAGGGCCTTCATAAATAAAAGAGCCGTTTATGTCATTGTCTCATTTGTTTCGCAGGGAAAAGTCCCTGCAATCCTCTCCTCACTCCCTCTTGAGATGCCAGGGTGTCTGCGGGCGCTGGCGGCGGTGCGGGAAGGGCCGAGGCCCAGGACTGGGCCAGCCTGGCTCCCGCGCTCAGCCCTTGTCGCCCGCACCGCTCTCCTCCCGCAGGGCCTGCTGGTGGGCGGCGGCGGCGGCAGCAGCGGCCTCTTTCTCCTTCAGCCTCAGCGCTGCAGCCTTCTTCTCCTGCTCTGCGTGGCTCTTCATATGCGCACTGCGGCTCTTCACCTTGTAAAACACCCTGCAGCCGGGTGGGGGTTGCTCAGAACCGGCCTAGCCCACCCGGGGGCCCCCAGCGCGGGTGCGCGAGGAGCCCCAGCCTTCACCTTCACCCCCACGCTGCACAGCCGCGGCCGGCCAGCTCGCGTCATTTTCCGAAAGCTGCCCCATGACGTCACAGCCCTAGAAACCCGCTGAGCCAACCAGAAACGAGGCGGACACCGCCTGTACCTCTTCCCCCTCCCCTCCACCCCACCCCCGCCCCCTCCGCGCACCAGCCCGCGGGGGTCCCAGCGGGGACAGCGCTGCCCACCTTACCTGCCACATTTTTTACAGGGGAAAGTGTTCTCCTGATTCTGGGTCTTACTGAATGTCTCTGTTTTTTTCTTCTTCTCTGAAAAAGGTAGTGCCCTTCGTGACTTCCCTGTCCCTTCCCTTGGCTTCTCCGAGGCCTGGCCACCGGCAGACCCAGGGGCGTTGGACTCGTGGCTCCGGAGGATGAGGATGTCACTGGCCTGAAGAAAATCAAACAAGGAGAGTTGAGTGATCTGAGCAAGCGCAGATCTGGAATTCTAAAATCGCAGGGAACCGGGGGCCTGAAAAGTCATATATATTCCTGCCAAACAGTCACCTAGCATGCACTTGGGTCCTTCCAGGGATATGACGACCATTGCCTCCTCCAACTCTGCATCTCTGGTCAGCTCTATCGTTTACAAAGTTGCTGCTAGAGTAATTCTGTGGGGCAGCCCGAGCTGCTAGAGGCCTTGATGCGCCTGACAGGGGATCTTGGTCTCTGGGTTAATGAAGCACCTACCTGTTGATGTTTTCTGTCATTTAGTCCGCTCATGCCCTGTTCTATAAATGAGATTCAGGCCCCTGTGATGGGCCAGATGCTAGGGACAAAGAGGTTGACACAGGCATCCCTGCCCTCAGAGCTGAGGATCTGGTGGAAGGGACAGATGCGCAGGTAGCTACTTCAGGACAGCGCACTGCAGGGACACCAAACAGGGCAAGGGCAGGGGTCAGAGTGCAGAGCAGAGGGAGCAGAGGTGACCTCGGCTGGGGAAGCCCCGGGTGGCCATCAGAAGTGGCACCCTCATGGGAAAGTTCACAAAAGTCAACAGAACTCTGTAGAGCGCTACACAGAGCACAGCTCTTGGTGCAGGTGGTCGAGGCTCAGAAGTGGGCACACAGCCGTGTGTTTACAGTTTATGGGAGCTCTGTAAGCATGAGTGTACTACACACATTCCTTTTTTTTTTTTTTTTTTTTGAGATGGAGTCTTGCTATGTCACCCAGGCTGGAGTGCAGTGGCATGATCTTGGCTCACTGCAACCTCCGCCTCCTCCACCTCCTGGGTTCAAGTGATTCTCCTGCCTCAGCCTCTGGAGTAGCTGGGATTACAGGCGTGCACCACCATGCCCAGCTAGTTTTTGTATTTTTAATAGAGATGAGGTTTCACCTTGTTGGCCAGGCTGGTCTCGACTCCTGACCTCAGGTGATCCACTCACCTTGGCCTCCCAAAGTGCTGGGATTACAGGTGTGAGCCACTGCGCCCGGCCTACTACATACATTTCTAAAAAAAAAGACTCTAAAAAAGCAGCAGCTCCCCAATAAACCCCTTCCCCTCCTTACCCCTTTCTGGGAGAACTCTCCCTGGCAAGGAGCAACTATGGCCAGTAGTCTTGTTTCTTGGCCTGTGATATGGTGGACAGAGCACTGCACTAGGAGTCCAAGGACCTGGGGCAAGTCACTTAGCATCTCTGAACTGCTTTCCCCCATCTGCAGAGTAGAGGTTAACTCTGCAGTGTGAGGAACTAATGAGATAATGGAAATGAAAGCACTTTGCAGAGATCATGCCTGAGGGCCTATGATTGTCATTCCCATGGTCTCAGCTCAGTCTCATTCTTGTCAGGGACTCTGGCTCTCTTAGGGGAGCCCTGTCTGCAAACCACCAATGCTCCCTCAGTGACCCACATACCTACTGGGTTTTCACAAAACCTTTTTCCCTCTGAATCTCAGATACAGAAGCAGTAGAGTATAAAAATTAATCGCAGACTCTGGATTCAGGCTGCCTACTAGCTGTGTTATCTTGGGCCACAATTTCCCCATCTATAAAATGGGAATAACAGTAATACCTAACCACATAGGGTAGTGAGGATTAAATGAGTTAACAGCACAAAGTACTTCACACATTTCCTGCTATTATGATTATAATGAGGATCACAGTCCTGCTCTACCCTCCCTCCCACGCCCCCAGGCCCAGCTCCACCCTGCTTGCCCTGGGCTCAGCCCATGGTGGTCACACTCACCGACTCATTGGCCTGTAGTGTCTGCGTGGCTTTGACTGCCGCTGCCCGCCTGCTGCGCTCTCGCCCCTCTTCCTGCTCCTCCTTCTCTTGGATCTCTGGCACCTCCTCCTCCCCCTCCTTCCTGGGCTCCTTCACCTCCCTCTTGGGCTCCAGCCTCTCTTCACTTGGGGACTCTCTTCTGGGAAGAGGCACCCTTGGGAACTTTTGGGAAGTCTATGGGGAACAAGAACAAGGGCAGTGAGCCTAGAGCTCTGTCTCACTGCTGTAGCACAGATTCTGACCCGGCCGGGGGGTTCACCAGCCCCAGCTAGTCCTGCTCGCCTGGCTGGCCCAGCATAGTCTTCTGTACTAGGACTCTGGACTCTGTCCCCATGGCATAGTAGCCATGGGGACAGAAGAGTCTCAAGCCCTGGGAGCACCTGAGAGAGAACGAGGGGCAAGGAGGGTACATACCAGTCACTCCCCATTGCCACCCATCCTCCTGGACAGATGACCAGGAGGCATCCTCGGCAATGATGTGGTGAGCCAGGCAGAAGCCTTGAGTTCCAATTCCAAACTATCTTTGTAATGCTTTCTGTAGCTCTACTACCTTCCTGCCTGCAAAATGGGCAGCAAACCACTCCCTGTCTTACCGTAGCATGTCACCAAGCGTGGATTTGCAATCCCAAAAATGATGCTAGGTGGATACATGGACATAGGATTAAGTAACCTTCCCTTTTAATTCTCTTTCAATCCTGATTATGCCAAGGACTCAGTCTCTGGTTGCTGCTAATGTGTCTTTTATACTTCTCTAGACTTGATAATCTCTTTAACAAAGCAAGGTCAGCCCTCAGTCTCAGCCTTGGCAGGTAACACAGCATCTAGCTAGAATTCAGTAATACTGGTTTTCACATATATTTTTACCAGTACCTTCTATTTATAGCACACAACCTTGGTTTTCTATTTATCACTGTGATATAAAACTTCCCTTCTGAGTAAAAAATGAGTTGACTTAAAGGAAAATATTAAGTAATGGCACAAGTAGTATATGAATATGACAAAAATTCTAATGGCGACACATGGTAGGATGCAGATATGGCAGAAATCAAAAAGGTGATACAAGAATGACTGAGGTTTGAGAAACAGTGTTAGAGGTCTGCTAAGCGGAGATAGGAAGATGATGCTGGTGTGAATCTTGTGGGAAAATTACCCTGTGTATCAACACAATGTATTATTACTATGACACCAGCAGTATAGAGAGGAGAACCCAGCGGTCCAGGGCTCCTTGCGGCTGTCAGGGACACTGTCTTCCTCAACCTGCCCTCTGCAGGCTCCTGGAGAGCTCGGGCTCGGGCTCCCAGCTCAGGCCTGGTCCCAGACCCAGCCCAGGCTCTATGCAGCTGAGGTTGGAAAAGGAGTCACCTTAATATCCACTTCAACCTCTTCCTGGGCCGACTTCTCATCGCTCGTATCCACATCCCCAAAGGTTAGAGTCCCATTGCGGCCGATTTTCACCTGCTTCTTGTAGGTGTAGTAGAACTCCACGCACTGGGCCACGGTCTTGGTCTGGATCTGGTTTGAAGTCAAAACTGAGGTCAGAACCCTCTGGTTTGGCTCATCTGCCTGTGGAGAATCCAGCCTTTCTCGTCCCTGCATCTTTCCCTTAACTTCAAGCCAAAATGAAACCCAGCCAACCCAGGCAATACAAGCATTTTTCCAATGCCTGCTCTGCAACAAACCACTGATCAATTAATCAATGCTTCAGCACTATTTAAAATAAGTAAATAAATAAAAAAAGCTATAAAGGACAATGTCGGAACCACTCGGGAGATGGCAATATGGATTGCATATCAGAGGGCATTACTGTATTTTTTTTTCTTTTTTTTGGAGACAGAGTCTCGCTCTGTCACTCAGGCTGGAGTGCAGTGACGCGATTTTGGCTCACTGCAACCTCCGCCTCCCAGGTTCAAATAATTCTCGTGCCTCAGCTTCCTGAGTAGCTGGGATTACAGGTGTGTGCCACCACAACCAGCTAGTTTTTTTTAAATATTTTTAGTAGACATGGGGTTTTGCCATGTTGGCCAGCCTGGTCTCAAACTCCTGGCCTCAGGAGTGATCCGTCTGCCTCTGCCTCCCAAAGTGCTGGAATCACAGGCGTGAGCTACCTCGCCTGGCCTGAATTATTTTATCAGGTTAAATTTCGTGGGCGTGCTAATGGTACTGTGGTTTTGTAGAATATCTTGGTTTTTAGGAGATACGTGCTGAAAGGTTTTAGTCATGTGACAGGATGACTGTAACTTACTTTTAATGATTAGCTGAATCAGAGAACAAGAGAGAGCTGTATATGTGTGTGTCTATGTTTAGACATAGAGAAAGAGAAAGCAAATATAGCCAATGTTAACGATTGCTAAATCTAAGTCCGGGGTGGATGGGTGTTCATTCTACTGTTCTTTCCATTTTCCTCTAAGTTTGAAATTTTTCAAACTGAAAAGTTGAGGGAAAAGGTCTGGGCACCATCTACATCCAAAGCCAGCCCTGACCTGGCAACACAGACGCTTTTCATTAATCCAGGCAAACAATTTCATTTCTCTCCAGGGAGCAGTGGCTGAGAAGTGAGCATACAGAAATGTCACAGTGTCCCCTGTCGGGGGAGGAACTCAAGGGAAACTCACAAGAAAGCCCTGGAAAACCTGAGGAGGAAGCGAAAGGCCTAAGTCTTCCTCCTGACTCTGCTACCACACAGCTATTCGAGCTTAGGCAAGTCACTCACTTTTCTAATTTCAGTTTTTTCATGTGTAAATAGCAAATGGGGTTAAGTAAGACTAGATGATCTCCAGGGACCTGCCTCTCAAGCTCTGAAATTCTAGCTCTCCCATTGCATAAATCTATTTGGCCACTGGGTTTAGTTTTTGGGCAACTTTCCCACACCCAGAGGCTGTTTCCTCTGACACCACCACACAGGCTCGCACATTGCTCAGCCACCGCTGGGCTGGGAGCTCCTGTCCAGAGAGGCCAGGGGTCAGTGTGGGCCCTTTGTGTCTGAGGAGGAAACAGACATGTTTCATCTCACAGAAATGGCCAAGTCACACATGTATTAATTAGGCCATTTACACATTTACTGTCAATTCTCTCTGACCCTTTGTTTGACTGACTAAAGGTCTGCTCATTTCATTAGGCATTAGGGGCGCCTCCGTGAATTTCACGGGCGTGTACTTCCCGTCAGTATTGCCCAATCAGGGAATAGCGTGTTACTAAAACACAGCAAAGGACTCCTCACAACAGGGCCCTTGTAGGGGAATTCATCATCAGCACTTTGTCTAGTCCCCAGGGCTGTTCCCAATACAATCTACAATCCCAAGAGGAAAGGGCATGCTCTTTTTAAAAACTCTTTTCCCTTGGCAGTCCACACAATTCTCTCTCCCCACAGCCCAGATTTTGTGAGACAGGGCTGGAAAGATGCAATTCCTTGGATTAGCAAAGCATCTGCTTTTCCAGAAGAATATGGAGAGAGGACAAGATAAATCTAGGGAATGTGGGCTTGAACAGCTGAGTTACTGGAAGGCAACTCTGGGTCAAAGGAAGTGGGCAGAGGCCCCCAGGTCAGCTCCGCAGGCACTTGCTGGCTCTCAGTGGCCTTCACCCCAGGGTGCCCTCCCCCTGCATCTTCCTCTGGGGAATGGCTCACCTCTACTTGCCACCCTCCTCCGCATCTTCCTCCTGCCTATTTTAAGTCTGATGCCCACTTAGGCCTCCTTCTGGATTGAGACCCCAGAGCTTGGCCACCCTACCCTGAAGTGAGGAAAGGATGCTTAGAACCAAAAGGGAAAAGAGACCTATCTTTCTCTTTCTTGTATTGTTTAGGAAATTCTCTCTGAGGCTACTCAGTAGCATTGACCTGACTGCTTTTTAAGAGGGATTGGTCACTGGCAGAGGGAGCCCCAAAGTCACACAGGCAGCTCCTGGCCCTCATTTGCCCTGAAACAGAGCCCAGCTCACCAGCTTCTGCACCAGGAAGAAATCCTTCTTGTAGATGGCAATGCCTTTGTTGAACAGCTTCCTCTCGGCCATCTTCCACTGGTCAGAGCCTATGGGGCAAAGAGGCAGCCAGGGAGTGAGGTGGGCAGGGCCCTGGCCACTGCAGGGCAATTTTGACAAGCAAAAAAGTGTGAGGCCATCCGCCCATGGTTTCTGCAGGCATCAGAGCCGGCTCCTCGTCCCACTTCCATGTGCCTCACAGCCTCGCTCCCTTGCTTGTGAAATGGAAACTAATATCACCTAGCTCACCAGCTGTGGTGAGGATTAAATAAGATAATGCATGTGAAACCCTTGGTGCTCTGCCTGGTGCAGATGAAATGTAGCACTAACATGCATGGAAAACATTGGCTGTTAGGATTATGTGACTCGGTCCATGTCCTTCTTAAAGTGACCAGAACAGGACATGCACTCCTGGGGCTAAGTTCCAGGTACCTGATGCCAATCTGGATGGCTCTCCATGGGTTCCTGTCCTTGTGGCCTGGGCTTTTTTGCCTGGATGGTCTCCCACCTGCCCACTCCCTTCTCCCCTCCCCTCCAGGGCACAGGAAACCCCTGGAGAGCTACCCCAGCTTTGGTGGCAGTTCCCTCACTCTGACTCTTGGCTTATCTACCCTCCTCCTCCCGCCCCCACCCAGGGCTGTGACTCAGCACTGAGCAGGGCCCCATGGATGCTGGAGACCTCTTGAGGCTCCAGGCACCATGCCCACCGCAGCCAGGCCCACCTGTGTAGTGATAAGTTGCCAGCGGATGGTTGTGGGGCCGCAGGGGCTTCTTCAGCAGCAGCTTATTCAGCGTTTCCTGGAGGGGAAGTGAGGGAAGGGTCAGGGCACTGACAGGGGTGTCGGTGGTGGACGGAGCATTCTAGGCCCTGATAAAATCCCGAGTAGGGTGGACACTTACTCTTGCCCCCTTAACTGCTGAGAGATAAGGGGTCCACTGGGGTGGTGAGATCACAGGGGGTGGGGCTGCCCAGAAAACAGACCTCAGGTCCTCTTAAGAGAGTCCATGGCCCCAAGGGAGGCAGCACTGCTGGAGAAGGCTCTCAGCAACCATCCAGTCTGAGTCCACTGACCCAGAATCAGGGATGGGAATGGACAGGAGGACACTGCACAGCAAAACCCGGGGTCTGAAACTAGGGCTCCCTTGGGTCAAGCCCCTACAGCCCCTTCCTTAGTCAGACCCTCCTACTGGCCTCAAATGTGCATGCCAGCAGCCATAGGTCCTGAGCAGCAGACATGGATCCAAGCCAGCCCCCACTGAGGGGCCCTCCCTCTGCTGGGGTTGCCTTCTCACCAGGATGTCTCCTCTGGATTCGTGCAGACAGTGCAGGGCCAGCTCCTGGTTGGTGCCAGCACCAGGGAAAATGCTGGAGCAGGCGGCTGTCAGCAGGTCTTCCACTGGATCCACAGGAGCATGAGGAGGGAGGGGAGGAAACCACGTTCAGGGCGGGGCTGGGCAGGGTGAGGCCTGGCCCACCCATGTGCCTGCCCTCACTTGCTGCCCCCAGGCCCCTCCTCACCTTGCCTCTGCTTCTCCCGGCTGCTCTCTAGGTCCTCCCATGGCTGCCACACCAAGTCAGCCTTGTGGGGATCTGCAGCTGCCAGGGCACGGTCCCTCATCAAGGGGATTTCTGCCTGGAACCGGGAGCCCACGTTGATCCGTCTAGAGGAGTGAAAAGGGCAGGAAGTGAGGCCTCACCTTGCGGGGACGGAGAACTTGATGATCCCTCAGGGTGGGAAGAAGATGAGGGGGAGCCGGCAGAGCAAGGCCTCAGCTAGGTGTAGGGAGTCTGGCTTCTAGGGGCTTGGGAGGACAGCCTGACCTGGCACCACCAGAAAGGCAAGGTCCAGAGGCTGGAGAGGGGAGAAGCAGCTGCAGGTTTACAGATGGGAAAGAGCCTCTGGACCCCCCTTTCAACTCTCCTAGAGATAAGTTCAAGCTGAGCCGGTCCTTGCCCTTCCCTGCAACTTCCACACAGAGGCAGGGCGGGGACAGCAAAGCCCAGGGCCACATACAGAAGCTCAAGGAGGCCCTCTCAGCCCTCTGCAGGCCCCACGGAACCCTCCTGTTGCTCCCAGGGCCCACCTGCACACACTGCACCAGTGTGGCCACCCACACCCCTCGGCCAGGGGCAGGGCTGCACTTACGGCTCGATGCTCACTGGGGTGGCCTCCCCCATCACAGAGAGGACAGGCGGGGTTACTTCAGCACTGTCTATGGGACAAAGAGCAGGTTGATAAATAGCACCCCCCTTTCAGCAAAGCACCCCCAATCCTAGTGGCTGCCCTGTATGTGCAAGAGTCACAGTGGTGACACACAGAGCTCACGCAGGGAACACAGGCACCTGAGTCCTGGCTCTGCAGCCTGTCACCTACGAAAACGCAGGCCCTTCACTAAATATTTGGGTGCCTCAGTTTTCACACTCACCAAAAGGGGCTATCACTACCTGTCTCCTACGGTTAATGTGAGAACTGGATAAAATAATGCACAGAGCCTGGCACTCGATAAAGATTATTATTACTGCTTCTACTACCAAAGCCATATCCTTGCCCCCAGAAGCTCCAACACTAACTCCAACATAAAGCTGTGGTTTTCTAGTAAAGAGACTGAAACTTTGAGCACACTAGGGAGGTGGTGAAGGGGATCGCTGTTTTATAGTTATCGTCTCACTTCCTCTTTGGATTTTCTGCCTCAGTTTCTCCCAAGCTAGTTTTTTTTTTGTTTTTGTTGTTGTTGTTGTTGCTTTTTGAGACAAAGTCTCACTCTGTCTCCGCCCAGGCTGGAGTGCAGTGGTGCGATCTCGGCTCAAGGAGTTGAACCTCCAAGTTCAAGCAATTCTCCTCCCTCAGCCTCCCAAGTAGCTGGAATTACAGGTGTGAGTCACCGTGCCCAGGCCCAAGTTGGTCTTCTTAAGGCCCCACATGATCAAAACACTCCTTTGCTTAAAAAAAAAAAAAAAAAAAAATCTTTGCTCTTTACTGACTCCCTCCTGCAATGTGAGATAAAACCTGCAACCCTCCCCTCAGGGTTCAAGGCGGTTCCGCTTCCATTTGTACCTCCCACCACCCATGTGCCTGGACCTGCATCCTAGCTGACTGCTTACCTCCCAACCCCTCACTCTCCCTGCACGGTCCCATCTACAGGCCTTTGCACCAGTCATTTCCTCCGCCTGGTGTGTCCTCCCTGCCCCCCGCCCTCCTCCATCGCTGCGGCTCAGCTCTGGCCCCACCCCTCTTGAATACAGTCCTCACCATCCCAGGCTAGCTGCTGGGGCTTTGCTCACTGGCTGCAGATCCCACACTACCGGGAACCTCTGTTTTTTCAACTCCAAGGCTTTCATGTCAACTCCCTAATGACCTTGCATTCTCTATAGAACAGACCATGGTGTCCTGTACATTCTTGGAGCCCTCACAGGACCCAGTACAAGGCCTTACGCCCGAGTGTTCGGTAGATACTCGTGGACAGACTGACCTCTCGCTGGCTGCCAGTCTGATCTCTACAATGACTTCCTCTTCCTACACAGCCTAGCCAGGGAGAAGCCTCCCCAGGAAGCAGTACAGAAGGCTGGCCAGCCTAGGGCAAACATTTTGCATCCACAGACACCAGGGGGCACCAGAGAGCTACACCATGGGTGAGGTCACAGTCAAAGGTTAATTGGCCAAAGGCATCTATAAGCTAGCTACTTCCACTTAATCCTCTCTACCACCCTAAGGGATTGGATTATCCCATTTTGCAGAGGAAATGGATCTCTTTATGGAGTGGGCAACATTTTTCAGCAGTACATCACCCCAAGCCAGCCCAATATTTCCAGAATGTCTGCTTTTGGCCAAAAAGACTGTTCGAGAGCCCCAGAGACTAGATCTGCCACAAAGGACTATGAGCAAACAGGATGGCCTGGGCATGATGTTCCAGCTTTATGTGTGCTAATGCACCTGAGCCTAGGAAGTGGCTATTAGGTTGAACCAAAGGAAACTACTATTTGTGAATCCAAAAATAGTTGAATATTGGCAGTTTCATCATCAACCAAGTAATACTAATATCCCCATCTTAATACTGAAAAAACTGAGGCCCAGGGAGTTGAAGTGACTTGCAAAAGTGGATGTAATAGTAAATGGTAGAATTGAGATTTGAATCCAAGCAGCTGGGCGGGCCCCCCACCCCTCCTTGTTGAACCAGGACAACCTCCTTCTCAATCTCAGAGAAGACAGAGCAGAGCTCCTTCTCCCAGAGTGTTCCAGCCCAATCCCCAGCAGCCCCACAGGCTGAGATGCCTCCCTGCCCAGTGCCCCAGCCCCGCTCCTGCCAGGGTCGCGGAGGGAGGTCACTCACTAGTCCGGAGCAGCGTGCGATGGGCACTCTTAGGCGTGATGGGAGGAGGGGCAGGGATGGTGCTGGTTGATATGATGGCATTGAAGTAGAGGCCAGAGCCTTCCCGCACAGGGCTGAGGATGGGGGGCGGCGTGTAGGGAGGTAGCTCAAAGCTCCGCTCAGAGGGGTGGTCAGCTAGGCGCACGGGAGAGCGCAGGTGGCTCTGGTATGGGGTGATGTTGGAGTAGACGGGAGGGGCGATGAAAGTGCCCGCCTTGGTGGGGATGATGAGGGGCTCGGGCCTGGGCCGCTGCTTTGGTTTCCGCACGGAAGGCTCCCCCTCCAACTTGACATTCATGTCCTCTGCCTGGAGAAGGAAAGAAAACAAGGACGGCTCAGCCCCCCGTGTCCCAGAGAAAGTAAAGTCTTAACCACAGCTTGCCAGTCTCACCTTTGGAACTTAGTCTGCCTACCACACCCACCAAGGCAAGCCTGAAAAAAGGAGCAGGTCCAAAAGCCCTTTTTATCATCTCCTCTAGGGCAGAAGTCAGCAAACTTTTTCTGTAAGGGGCCAGAGAGTAAATATTTTAGGCTTTGTGGGCCACATGTGATCTCTGTTACATATTCCTCTTCTTTCCCTTTTTCTTTTTAAAACTAACTGTATAAAATTGTAACACATTCTTAGCTCTGGATCTGGCCCCCAGACCACAGTTCCCCACCTCTGCTGTAAAGTGTGTGACAGGGCAGGAGAGTACAGTAGTTCAGGGCCCAGGCTCTGGAGCTGGACTTCTTGGGTTGGGACCTACCACCTTTATTGCCACTGAAAATTACTCAATCTTTCCGTGCATCTTCATAACATGGTGCCTACCTAGTAAGTGCCTACTTCATGGGGTAACCATGAGGACTGCATGAATTAATACAAGGAAATCACTGAGAACATTACCTGGTACCTCAGTAAATATTGGCTGTTATCACTACTTAAACTCCAGGCTCTGCGTTAGATGAAAGCTCCTACTGCGTGCTAAGACCTGAGCTGGACATGGGACTACAAAATGGAATGGACAAGGCCGGGCGTGGTAATCTCAGCACTTTGGGAGGTCGAGGTGGGGGGGAGGGGATCACTTGAGGTCAGGAGTTCGAGACCAGCCTGGCCAACATGGCAAAACCCTGCCTCTACTAAAACACAAAAATTAGCCGGGCATGGTGGCGGGTGCCTGTAATTTCAGCTACTCAGGAGGCTGAGGCATGAGAATCACTTGAACCCGGGAGGTGGAGGTTGCAGTGAGCCAAGGTCGTGCCACTGCACTCTAGCCTGGGCAACAGAACTGGATTCCGTCTCAAAAAACAAAAAGGAAAAAGAAAAAAAAATGGAATGGACAGTCCTTGTCCTTGCAGAACTTTTGTTCTCATAGTATTAATCCTACTAGGAAAGTCTAGCCCATGCACACTGCCAAAGGTTAGCCCTCCTACTTCTCCCTGCTAGGTACGCCTCATGGGCCTCTATCTAGAATAGAAAGCAGGACTATAAGAGAACAGAGGCCTTCCCTTGCTCGATTCCTATAATCTCAAAGGCAGAGAATGGAGCCCTACAGGGTGAGCAGCACCCAGTTTATCCCTCTGCGTACTCAGTACAACAGGTAAGGTTGGCCATGTTGACAGAGTGGGCCTTAAAATAATGAGCTGTCTCCCTGCCAAGGTTCTGGCTCCCATAAACACATTCCAGCAGAGGGCCCTGACTCCCTCTGAGGCTCTGGCCATGTCCTTCACCCATCTGTGCCCTCTTTTCCCTTCTACAAATTGGGATGAAATGAAACTGTTCGTTCTTCTTCCCTTAGGAAAACAATATGATTGCACAGAAAAAAAAAAAAATGCAGGAGCCAAAGGCCCCCCAAACTTTCTTGACAAGAAATCTAACAAAAAATCAGCTAGCTGTAATGATTTGTAATTTTATAATAAGGGATTTAAACTATTCTGAATATCTGACAAAAATAGTCATGTTCATTTTTTAGGTGTGGTAATGCTATTGAGATAATGTTGGAGAAGAAAGAGTCCTGACGTATTTCAGATACAAACTGAAGTATACACGGATGGAATGACACGATGTCTCAGGATGTGCTTCAAAATAACCCAGTGGCATGGAGAAGCAGAGGCACAGGTGAAACAAGATTGGCTATGTTTTGATAACTGTGAAATCTGGGTGATGGCTAAACACTGGCATTCATTATACTCCTCTCTACTTTTATGCATGAAAGAAAGTATCTGTAGTACAAAGAATAATAAATAATGAATGAAATAAACAAATAACAAAACACAAACCTCCCCCCAAAGCCTGGTGTAGTACAAGTACTCACAGGCAGGGATTGAGGAGATCCAAATTCTAGGGCTAGCTCTACCATTACTTGGCTGTATGACCTTAGGTCAGTCTCTTGTCTTTTCTGGACCTAGCTCCTCATCTATAAAATAGAGGCATTGAGCTGTGGAGCTGCTCAGGCTCCTTCCTGTCTCAGAACAAGCTGCCCAGGCCTCCAGCCTCTACCACAAACTTTTCCTCAACCAGAGAACAAGAACCCAGAGAGCAGAGACTGTGACGCTCCCCTGCCTATTAGAGGCATGCAGGCCAACTCTCCAGCTGAGAATAACCAGAAAATCTGGACTCGATGTGCAAAACACATTTCTGAAGATATCAGAGGACAAATAGGTTGGCAAAGAATTAAAGAGCCAAGATCTAGGTGAAAAAAAAGAAAGCTAAAGAGGTGAGCCCAGTATTTGAAGCTGCGTTTTCCCTAGAGGTGAATGCTATTACTGGAAAAGGCAACTGAGAGGCTGAGAAACTGAGAAGAGCTTTTAAGAAATTTAAGGAACTGACACAATAAAAACTGAGGTTTGTCCAGGTGTGGTGGCTCACGCCTGTAATCTCAGCACTTTGGGAGGCCAAGGTGGGTGGATCACCTGAAGTCAGGAGTTGGAGACCAGCCTGGCCAACATGGCAAAACCCCATCTCTACTAAAGATACAAAAATTGGCTGGGCATGGTGGTGGGCGCCTGTAATCCCAGCAACTCAGGAGGCTGAGGCAGAAGAATTCCTTGAACCCAGAAGACGGAGGTTGCAGTGAGTGGAGAACATGCCACTGCACTCTAGCCGGGGTGACACAGTGAGACTCCCTCTCAAAAAAAAAAAAAAAAAAAAAAAGGCTGGGTGCAGTGGCTCACGCCTATAATCCCAGCACTTTGGGAGGCTGAGGCAGGTGGATCGCCTGAGGTCAGGAGTTCGAGACCAGCCTGGCCAACATAGTGAAACCCCATCTCTACTAAAAATACAAAAAATTAGCTGGGTGTGGTGGTGGGCACCTGTAATCCCAGCTACTAAGGAGGCTGAGGCAGGAGAATTGCTTGAACCCAGGAGGCGGAGGTTGCAGTGAGCTGAGATTGAGCCATTGCACTCCGGCCTGAGCCACAAGGGCGAAACCCCGTCTCAAAAAAAAAAGAAAATAAAAAACAAAGCTGAAGTTTAGGGCTCGCCAAGGAAGGAGAGCTTGGCAAACCCCCAGGCTTTGGATTGGGACTCCAAAAAGGGCTGATACTCACTTTCATTCAGAATAAAGGTGAATCAGAAATAGGCTGGTCCTTATATGGAATAAAGCCTAGCTTCAAATCATCTCATTTCAACCTCTGATTAAAGTAATTCAGGGCCGGGTGAGGTGGCTTACACCTGTAATCCCAGCACTTTGGGAGGCCAAGGCAGGTGGATCACCTGAGGTCACGAATTCAAGACCAGCCAGGCCAACATGGTGAAACCCCATCTCTACTAAAAGTACAAAAAAATTAGCTGGCGTGGTGGCCTGCACCTGTAGTCCCAGCTACTCAGGAGGCTGAGGCAGAAGAATCGCTTGAACCTGGGAGGCGGAGGCTGCAGTGAGCTGAGATCATGCCACTGCACTCCAGCCTGCACAACAGAGTGAGACTCCATCTCAAACCCCTGCCCCCGCCCAAAAAACCCAGAAACAAAAACAAGAACTTTGCATTGTCCAGGAAGAGCTAAAAGTACTAACAGATTTCTAAAAGCCAAGGATGCATGTTTTCTTCTGTTTTTGTTTGAGACGAAGTCTCACTCTGTTGCCCAAGCTGGAGTGCAGTGGTACGATCTTGGCTTACTACAACCTCCACCTCCCAGGTTCAAGCGATTCTCTTGCCTCAGCTTCCTGAGTAGCTGGGATTACAGGCACACACCATCATGCCCGGCTAATTTTTATATTTTTAGTAGAGACGGGGTTTCACTATGTTGGCCAGGCTGGTCTTGAACTACTGGCCTTGTGATCCACCCGCCTTGGCCTTCCAAAGTGCTGAGATTACAGGCGTGAGCCAGGATACATGTTTTGTTTTGTGTGAGATGGAGTCTCGCTCTGTTGCCCAGGCTGGAGTGCAGTGGCATGATCTTGGCTCACTGCAACCTCTGCCTCCCGGGTTCAAGCGATTCTCCTGCCTCAGCCTCCCAAGTAGCTGGGATTACAGGTGCACACCACCACGCCCAGCTAATTTTTATATTTTTAGTAGAGACGGGGTTTCACCATGTTGGCCAGGATGGTCTCGATCTCTTGACCTCGTGATCCGCCCACCATGGCCTCCCAAAGTGCTGGGATTACAGACGTGAGCCACTGCCCCCGGCCCAGGATACATGTTTTAATATCTAGCAACTCTTCTTGACCAAAGAGCTAAGTCCTGATGTCATTAGGCATTCACTATACATAATAAGTTAAATTCTTTCCTATGCATTTAACAGGGTTTGGGTTTTTTGTTTTTGTTTTGTTTTGAAAAGGGGTCTCACTTTGTCACACAGGCTGGAGTGCAGTGGCACAATCACAGCTCCCTGCAGCCTTGGCCTCTTGGGCTCAAGCGATCCTCCCACCTCAGCCTCCTGAGAAACTGGGACTACAGGTGTGCACCACCACACCCAGCTAATCTTTTGTTGTTGTTGTTTTGTTTTTTGTTTTTTTGTAGAGATGGGGTCTCTCCTTGTGTTGCCCAGGCTGGTCTCGAACTCCTGGGCTCAAGCGATCCTCCTGCCTTGGCCCCCCCAAAGTGCTGTGATTGCAGGCATAACCCACTGCACCTGGCCTCCTGTGCATTTTTAAATGGTACTAGCTATGTCCCATCCTTCAGATAATGGAGGAAATAGTTGCTCAAATCCCTTTCTGTAGGGCTTAGTTCTCTTGAAGAAATACGGGTAAGAAGAATGCTGGGGTAATCATGAAAAGAGCAGTATGCAAGAATATAACTAATAAATTAACAAAATGGGGAAATGGGATAACAAATCAAATCAATCCAAAGGAGAACATGGGAAAGGCAAGATGGGAAACAGCTAACAGTAGATGGCAACTTTTAACCCAAGTATTTAAGTAATTACATTAAATGCAAACTGTATCAGTGGAATCTTAAGGTGAATTCAAAGAAACATAAAGTAGAATGGTGGTTACCAAGGGTTAGGGGATGGGGCGGGGACTGGGGAGATGCTGGTCAAACGAAATATAATTTCAGTTAGGAAAAAAGAATAAGTTCAGGAAATCTATTGTATAACATGATGACTATCATTAGTAACAGTGTATTATACACTTCAAAATAGCTAAAAGAGCAGATTTTAAATGTTCTCACCACAAAAAAATAAGATTTGAGGTAATGGGTATGTTAATTAGCTTGATTATATCAAAGCATCATGTTGTATGCCATAAATATGTATTCTTTTTATGTTAATTTTATTTTATTCTATTTTTGTACAAATGGGGTTTCGCCATGTTGGTCAGGCTGGTCTTGAACTGCTGGCCTCAAGTGATCCACCTGCCTTGGCTTCCCAAAGTGCTGGGATTACAGATGTGAGCCACTGTGCCCAGACTTTATGTTAATTTTTAAATAAATAGAAAGATATAAACTGTATCAATTCTCTAAAAGACTGGATAATAACAAATCCCAATGTATGCCACTTGAAAGATACACCTTAAGTAGAAGGATACAGAAAAGATAACAGTAAATGATGGGAGAAGATGCACCCTGCAGATTCTAACCAAAAGCAAGCAAGATATCAGACAAACCTGACTTTAAAAGACAAAAAGGGTGGATGATGAGAAATTACTTAATAGGTACAATGTGCATTATTTGGGGAATAGATATGGATACCCTGATAGCCCTGACTTCACCACTACACCATCTATGCGTGTTACAAAATCACACTTGTATCTCATAACTTTACTCATGTAAAGTAAGAATTGGCCGGGTGCGGTGGCCCACCTCTGCAATCCTAACACTTTGGGAGGCCAAGGCGGGCAGGTCACTTGAGGTCAGGAGTTCAAGACTAACCTGGCCAACATGGTGAAACCCCGCCTCTACTAAAAATACGAAAATTAGCCAGGCTTCGTGATGCATGCCTGTAATCCCAGCTACTAAGGAGGCTGAGGCAGGAGAATCTCTTGAACCCAGGAGGTTGCAGTGAGCTGAGATCTCGCCATTGCACTCCAGCCTGGAGGACAAGAGCGAAACTCTATCTCAAAAAAATAAAATAAAATAAATAAGAATAAAATGAGAATAAAAGGCAAAAAGAATATTTAAGATAAAAAGAAACTTCATAAAGTATCTAACCTAGTTCTAAATGAGCACCTAATAACATTGCATCAAAATGTATAAAACAAATGATGACAGAACCTAAAGAAAAAGTAGGCAAAACCTCAATCTTAGAAGGAGATGTCGGCCAGGCGCGGTGGCTCACACCTGTAATCCCAAAACTCTAGGAGGCTGAGGTGGGCGGATCACGAGGTCAGGAGATCGAGACCATCCTGGCTAACATGGTGAAACCCCATCTCTACTAAAAATACAAAAAATTAGCTGGGCGCGGTGGTGGGCGCCTATAGTCCCAGCTACTCGGGAGGCTGAGGCAGGAGAATGGTGTGAACCCAGGAGGCGGAGGTTGCAGTGAGCCGAGATTGCGCCACTACACTCCAGCCTGGGTGACAGAGCAAGACTCTGCCTCAGAAAAAAAAAAAAAGATGTCAAGATCTCAGTAGTGACAGTACAAGCAAACACCTCTCATTCCCAGCACCCAGCACGGGCCAAATCAGAATTTGCTGATCTGGAAAAAGAGATGTACACAACCTAGAATTCAATTCTAGGCAGTTTCAATTTCAAGTATAAAACTGTCTCATCCCCCATTAGGAGGGGGACATCTCCAAATGCCCCTTCTGGACGTCTGTCCAGAAGTTTGGTTTGGAAAATAAAAATAGTATCTCCACAGGTTCCCTGATACCTTCCTACATTGCCATGTTCTCCTTTCCCCATAGGGTCCTGGGCCCCCTGAGCACTCACGCGCTGGAGGTGTTTAGAAGGGGCGCCTCTCATACCTGAGCTTGAGCATCTGTCCCGGGGATTCGGGTGGACCGCCTGCGGGTGACGATGACTGATGGCTTGTGCTCAGCAGGGTTCTGTTCAGGACCCTTCCCGTCCTCATCAAGACCTCCAGCCTGGGCTGCCTCAGTTGGGTCCACAGTTCGCACAGGCACAGACACTGGGATGATGAGGGGTACCATCCCACTGTCTTCTCGTGCTCGCTTGGTGGCTAAGGAAGGCTCAGAAAACTCCACCCCACACTTGGTAGTTGAGGCCAATACACTTTTCCGCTTCTCTTCAGAACCACTGCCATCCTGGACAAGATGGGAACAGAAGTGCAATTTAAAAGGTAAGTCATAGCCAGGCGCAGTGGCTCACGCCTATAATTCCTGCACTTTGGGAGGACAAGATTAAAGGATCACTTGACGCCACAAGTTCAAGACCAGCCTGGGCAACATAGTGACACCTCGTCTCTACAGAAAATAAAACAAAATTAGCTGGGCATGGTGGCAAACTCCTGTGGTCCCAGCTACTTGGGAGGCAGAGGTGGGAGGATTGCCTGAGCCCAGGAAGTTAAGGCTGCGGTGAGCCGAGATCGAACCACTGCACTCCAGCCTGGGTGACAGAGTGAGACCCTGTCTCAATAATAAATAAATAAACAAATAAAAGATAAATTCTGATTTGATCTAGGACCCTCATTCCCATTTAGTCACGGGACTCAAACACCCACAGTGGCTCCCAGTGGTCTCACAACTTGACCTTTTTCCCTGACTACCTTTTCTCCGACCACTTTTTTTTTTTTTTTTTTTTTTTGGAGACAGGGGGTCTCACTCTGTCACCCAGGTTGTAGTGCAGTGGCACAATCTTGGTTCACTGCAACCTCTGCCTCCCAGGTTCTAATGATTCTCCCACCTCAGCCTCCCCAGTAGCTGGGATTACAGGCGTGCAGTACCACACCTGGCTAATTTTTGTGTTTTTTGGTAGAGATAGGGTTTTGCTGTGTTGGCCAGGCTGGTCTCCCAACTCCTGACCTCAAGTGATCCACCCACCTTGGCCTCCCAAAGTGCTGGGATTATAGGCATAAGCCACTGCGCCTAGCCTCACACTGTTCTCTTCTATAGAAAGTGCTTCTGGCTGGACACGGTGGCTCACGCCTGTAATCCTAGCACTTTGGGGGGCTGAGGCAGGCAGATCACGAGGTCAGGAGTTCGAGACCAGCCTGACCAACATGGTAAAACCCTGTCTCTACTAAAAATACAAAAATTAGCCAGGCATGGTGGCAGGCGCCTGTAATCCCAGCTACTCGGGGAGGCTGAGGCTGGAGAATCACTTGAACCCGGTGATCTGTATCTATCTGTATCTGAAATAGTATCTAATTATTCAAAAAATATTTCTGCAAAAGAAAGTAAGCAAGAACCCTGTGGCAAGGTGAAGGGTGGTCTTTGTACTGTTTTCCCACAGGCAGCTGGCTAGGGCAAAGTCTGGCTTTCCCTAGGCAAGAAGCAAATCCTGCAGCCGCCCACCTATCAGCCTGATGCCCTCTGCCAGGTGTGGCTCCACTGCATGCCACTCTCACCTTTGCATTCTGCAGTGAGGCCAGCTCCACAGCCTTCTGGGCCAGGGTCAGCAAATTGGCCTCCTGGGATGCCCGGCGCCTCCGTCGCGTGCTCTGGATCACTCCGCCCCGTAGCACCTGCCCACAGTCCCCTGTGCTCACTGCCCTCATGCCCTCCTCGCTGCCCATGGCAGGAGCCTCTCGCTCCCGGCCATTGGGTGCTAGTCTCTCCCCATCAGGCAGTAGCTGCGACTCCCTCAGCTCCAGCGGGAATCCCAGAGCTTCAGGATGGGGCTGCCCCAGGGAGCCAGGTGGCGGCTGCTGCAGGGGCCAGTGATGTAGGAACAGGTTGCCAGTGGCCTCCTGCCCAGGCTGGGTGCCAGCCCCATCCAGGGCGCTGGGAGGCAGGATACCCTCCTTAGAGAGGCGGCGGGAGCGGCGGGGGAAGGGGATCTGGACCTGAGGTAGCGCTGGCTGCGGGGCTGAGTCCTGCAGAAGGGCCTTGCGCAGTTCTGGGTTCATATCTGGGTTGGGGGGGAAGGGGTAGGGTGCCATGCTGTGGTGAGCCAGGTGGGACTGTCCCAGTGGCCCAGCTGGCTGCAGGCCAAAGTCCTGGGGTTGCTGCGAGGGTTGCTGCGGCATGGAATAGAAGTTCTCAAAGAGCGGCATCTGGGGTAGGGCTGCCTGCTGCTGCTGCTGCTGCTGCTGTGGTTGCTGCTGCTGCTGCTGCTTCTGTGGAGGGAAGGCAGCCACCGGGTTTGGGGGCGGTGGGCCCTGCCGGAAGACCTGCCGGTTCACCTGGTGGCCGAATGCCAGCTGGAAGGGTTGCAGGGGCAGTGACTGGTTTGGGGGTTTCTTGGCTGCGTGGAAAGAATTCAGGGGTGCCTGGGGCCGCCCTACCTCCAGCTGCACCTTCTGTGGCATCATTGGTCGCACATAGCGGTCCAGCTGTGGGCCCCCCGCTTTCTCCCGCTTCAGTGCCTCAGGGTGGTTATAGTAAGTCGGGACTCCCACTCCAGGATGCGGGCTCCCCTTGGTTGCACTGTAGAGGGACAGACTGTGGCAGTTCCATGTTGAATGGGGTGGAGGCTGGCCTGGCTGCTGCTGCCAGCTGCTGTCACTGACACCCCCACCTCCTCCACGCTCCGGGCCCCGCCCTGGAGCCATCACAGAGTTGGGCCACTTTACTGAGGCCACCTGCTGGGACAGCATGGCTGCTGAGGTCCGCTCAGGCCCATATACCACAGAGTTCAGCAGGGCCAGGCTGCTAGGAGGGGGCAGTTCCACAGGCTGAGAGGTGGAGACTGCCCCTCCTGGACCCTCGTGCCCGAGGTACTGCTCCTCCTTCACTCTGATGGACTGCTGGGGGGGCTGCAGGGGAGGGGGCTGCTCCTTGGGAGCTGGTTCCTGGCCCCCGAAGAGGCAACGCTTCCGCTTGTTCTGAGCCTTGGGCTGGGCCTGGAGGTTCATGATGTGGCCAACTGAGCCCTGGCGGTGAGATCCCCTTCAACAGTCGCCCATCCCCTGGGGAAACGTCCTGCTGGAAGCCGGGCTCTAGTCCAGGAGCCAGGGAGGGCAGAGCAGGGGCAGAGGAAGACGCTGGACAGTGAGGTCGGACACTGGGAGAAAGAACTGCTGGCTCTTCCTTTCTCTTCCAGAGAGGCTCTGGGGCTCAGCTACTCTTCCCAGTTCATGATGCTCCACAGGGTTCTGGCACCTGCAGAGGGAAGAGCAGTGACAGTGTCAGCCACAGCCTCCCAGGATGCCCCGAACATCAGCACAAGTGTAAGAAAAGGGGCTCCAAGGGCCTTCGGTCCCACCACCTCATATCACAGGGACAGGCCCCAAGTCACAGAGCAGCATTGGTGAGGCAGGAGCCAGGACTTTTGGGGAGCTGCCAGGAGGGCAGGAGAATCAGCTGCATCTCCCAGGGCACTGTGACTCTCTTGTCCCACCACCTCACCCTCCTGGTTCCGCTCCAGGACTGCCTGCATCTGTCTGTGTTATTTGTGCACTGCATAGGCACATTCTAAGGCACAGGTGGAGCTGACATCCAGCCCAAGCCCCTCCAGCCCAGCTGAGAAAGAGGCAGCAAAAGCCACACTGGCTCCCCTCTCCTCTTACCCAGGCCCTAGCCCCCTGGGCAGCCAGGCCTAGTCCTCCTGGCACACATCTGTCTATGCAGGAGCCTCCCACCAGACCCAGAAGGATCTTTGTCCAGCCAGTGCCTCCTCTGACACTCCAAGCACATCTCAGGCTCGGGAAGTGGAGAGGACAGGGTCATTCCCGACGTGGCCACTCCTCCTGTGCAGCCCCAGAGTCAGGAGCTCCAACAGACCCTTGTAGAGTCAGGGGCCCAGGGTCAGGCTCACCAAGGCCTGCAGGTAAGGCCCCAGAAGGGTGTGTGCAGTCCTAGCCCCACCCCTGGGAAGAGCTGCTGGGTGGGGCTGTGGCTGCCAGAGTCTTTCCCAAACTAGCACAGAACCTGTTTTGCAACCCTGGCAGGGTGGAGGCAGGATCCAGGCCAAGAGCTGGTCAGCAGCTGACCCCGCCCCTGCCTGACCCCTGCCCCTTCCACTGCCGAAGAGCCCCTGGCAAATAGTGTAACTCAGATCGTAGAGGGTGCAGATTGCTAGAACTCAGTTCCAGAAGGTTTCTCCACGATAATGTCATGACTTAAGTACACAGTTTTTCCATTTTTGTTTCGTAACTTGATTTTTTAAAGCAGTCGCTACAGAACAGAATCTAGACCTGTATTTTATAGCATAGCTGCTTGCATGTATTTTTCAAGACTTTTCTTTCCCTCAGAGTGATGTTTGGGTTTTGTTTTTTTCCTGGGAAGTTGGTGGGGGTGGGAGCTACATAGCCCACCTCTTTCCCCAGTAAGATTCTGGTCCCTAGGAAGAGGGGAAAACAGCTCGGGCGGCTCTGAAGAGGAAATCTCAGGCCCTAGATGCTACAGGTCATTGTTAGCAACCCCAGCCGCTCCCAGGAAACCAGCCAGCAGCAGCGGAGGGCAGGGCTGGGCGGGCACAGGGTCCCGACTATACCCAGTTTGCAGTTCGGCCCACCCCCAGCACCAGGAATGCCCCTCCCAGGCTATCGCTCCTCTGCAGGCTTCCGCAGCTCCCCAGCCCCTGTGCTCCTGGAGCCTGCCTGCCTCCTGCCCGCCTGCGTGACTCACTGAGGGCCCCCTCCCTATCTTTCACTTTCACCCAGCACCCAGAAGGGGAGTAATTTCCTCCTCCATTTCCTTCCTCAGCTCCTGGGCCTTGAAGAGAGTAAGAGACCCTCCTCGTGTGCAGCCTTTGTCTTTTCATATATGAAGCTGGAGGGAGGGAGAGGCACAGAGACTAGGAGGGCATCCAAGTCACCCTCACCCCCAGCAAGAGGGGAGTGGGGGGATTTGGACAAGAAGTGCAGAGCTGCGGGCTGCAGAAACAACCTTTCTCTTGCTTTTAAACCCGCATTCCCTGACAGCCAACCTAATTCAGAGCAGGAACCCAAAAGCTAAACCCTGCACTGAAAATCACCCTGGGCACCCCCATGAAGCTGCAGGGTGGGACTGTCTGGCTCCGCCTCTCCGAGGGAACATCAAGCCCACAGAACTAGAAGTGCGTGTCTGCAGAAGCAAGACAGAGAAAGGAAGAATGTGCGCCAGCCTGGCAAGCCCACGTGCCTCCAGGGGGCTGCGAGCCCCTCCAGTGGGCGCTCACACACACTCACGCCTCCCTTCATCACAGCCCTGTCTCCTTGTGAGCCACAGCACGGGCTTGAGGCCTGGAGCAAGGGAAGGTCCACGTGGCGGGTGGGCCTGGATGCACGTGCCAGTGTGAACCTGATGGAGGGGTGCGCCCCCTCCATGGGGATGGCTGCTCAGAAGGAGATGAGGCGGGGCCTGCGGCTCCAGGACAAGCCTGCTTCTGCCCAGGGCAGGGGCCAGAGGCCAGATGCAGGTCTTACAGGGGCTTACCCACAGCTGTATGGTCAGCCCTGGAGGAGCTGAGCTCAGCTGGGAAGCCTCCCACTCCCACCCTGCACATCAAGGAGGGCCATCATTCAGGATACCACAGCAGCCTCTGAAGCTCAGACAGGGACTTGCTTTGAAGAAATCAGGGGGCCTGGTTTGGGGAAGGCTGAATCACCCCAGAAACTTCTTGCTGCAGAGGCCTCCCTGTCACCCTCACCGAAGAGCTAAGGGTGCCAGGGGCACAGACAGTCAGGCCTGGGACCCTCAGAGAAGAAAGGTCATCGGCTGGGGGTGGGGAGAAGAGTGGAAGATACTGGCAGCCTGGGAGGAAGGGTGAAGAGGCACACCTAGGCAGCAGGGCACTAAGTAGTCATAGGAGTAATGATGATGGTGATGGTGCACCCGTGCCAGGCAGATCCTACGTGCTTTATATCCTTTAAATTCCCACCATGGCCTTATAAGGCAGGAGTTGCGATTTTAACCTCTATTTACAGGTTAGCTAGATGAGGCTCAGAGGAGCTAAGTAAGTTGCCTACGGTCACACAGTCATTATGTTGCAGAGCCAAGACTGGAACCCAGATCTGTCTGACTCTAAGATCAAGCTCTTCTTCCTTATCCCCAAGATATGCCACTAAGACCCCAGACCCCTCTTCATACACCTCCCTTCCACAGCACACTCTACACCACCTCCAAGCAAGGATTTTCTAGACACAGATATCAGATATCCCTTCTCATTGGCACTGGGAAGCCCCTTACCCCTGCCTGAACCTTTGGCAGGTACTCTCTCCCATTCTCCCCAAATACAGCTGAGACCCTTGGCCTTCCAGGAAGGGAGAGCAGGAAAAGGTCTCACCACAGAGGGGTCAGCAGATGTGTGAGGTCTACCTGCAGGGAGGCCTGAAACACTTCCTCCTGCACTGGCCACTCTAGCCCCCGATCTAGGCCTGGACTCTCCAGCTCCTGCAACCCCACCCCGGGCTCAGTTGCTGCTGGTGGTGCCTCCAGCTCTCAGACCCCATGGGCTTCTCCCAGCCTGCAACTCGGGGTCAGGACTGCGCCACTTCCTCTCATTTCTTCTACCCCACCCCCGCTGCCCTGTCCCTCAGATGGAAATCAAACTGCCCTTCCTCACAGTGAGGAAGAGGAAGGACGACACCTCCAAAGGCTGCTGACCTGTGGGCCTAGTCCCTGAGATTGCAGGGAAGAGGATGTCATGAGGAACTCCTGCCAGCAGCTCAGCCCTGGGACCAGCTGCAGGGCCTCTGACAACGGATGCAGGAACACTGCAAAAGGAAACCCACAGTCACCACGGGGCCCCAGACACGGCAACCCGCCCTGTCAGTCTGTTTGACTGTCACGCTCTATTCACTTTTCCCTTCCTCCAGGCTCCTCTCTGCAGCAACCAATCCTTGACCAGACCCACAGGTACCCCTGGGCCAAAGACAAGGCAACAATCAAGACCAAGGCCTGGGACCTAGCAGGCTTTCAGGAAGTTCTATGGTGAGTAGCACTTACTCTCTATAGAAGAAAGCAGTGTGCACCAGGAAAAAAAAATAAAAAACAGTGCTGACCCCACATATATGTTTTGCAGACACATGAGGGGAAGGTGCTGGAAAGGCCTTTGGGTGTTCAATGCTGATGGTGACACCAGCTCTCCTGGGATGTCAGCTCAAACACACACTGCTCCCCAAATGCCATCGGCAGCCCAGCTGCACACCCAACACTGGCTGGCTGACCCCAGGAGAAGCCAGAGAGCCATCACCACAGGGCAAGGGGCCAGACTGTGGCCACTGTGGGACCAGGGCCACTCACCAGTCTGCTTGGGGCAATCAGTGTGTCCATTTGAGAAAAAAGACTATTGTGAGTCAAGGCCACACAGACCAGGGAGGAGATGCCAAGTTGATCTCAGCAGCTGCGGGGGCTCAGCTCTGACCTGGGGATAACAGCTGACCCGAGGGCCCCCTGCCCTTGGAGGCTAATGCTCCAAGCTCCCACTCTTATAGCCTGGGCAGGCCCCACAAGCTCAGCACTAGGAAGAGGGGAGTCAAAGATCATGGGTCTGTCACCCAAGGGCAAGACAGGCCCAAACTGAGTCTCCAGGCGAGTCAGTTCTCTGAGCTGTCTTAGGACAAAGTCTAAACTCCCTGCCCTGTCCACAAGTCCCTGCAGACCTTGGCTCCTGCCACCTCTCTCGACAGTCTGTGCTTGAGCCAGGGCCTCCAACGTGTTCTTCTCGCTTTGCTTCCAGGTCTTTGGCCAGGCTGTACCCCTTCCTAGGACACCTTCTCACTCTTTTCATCAGGCCAGGTCCTATTAATCCTTCAGGTTGCAGACACTGCTTCCACTGGGAAACCTGACCCCAGAGCTGAGACAGGAGCTGAACTACAAGCCCCTATAACACACTGTATATGGCACACTAAATCCCAGGTGCCTGCTTTGTCATCCCCAGCAGACAGCAGGCTCCACGGGGCAGGGTTGGCAGACCGTTGTACCTTGGCACTTGGTTTGTATCTGCCTGTCAGGATGCTCATTCAAGACTGCGCCCAAGGTGAGTCAGAGCCACACCTGGGCAGAGGCGACACAGCCCGCATTCCTGCCCTGGGCTCCTGCCTGCTCCTGACTTCTGGGCTCTCTGGTGCACATGAGAGCTCCTCAAGATGCTGGGATGAAGTGAAAAGGCCCAGCCCGGGATCCCACCCTACCCCTGGCCCCAGGCCCTCTACACCTATGTGGAACACAAGTCCTTCTCCCTGCTGGCCCACAAGCCACCTGCCCTTGACTGTCACCTGCTGCCCCACAACACATGCAGGCCAACTGGAAAAGTGCCAGCTCCACTGTTGCCCTCCACCCCACTTTTCTAGGCTTCTACCCCCACCTAGACAGTGGCCAGGGACACAAGCCTGTGGGTCTGTTTACCTCATGCCCTGACATGGCTGGACCTCAAGACACTAAGGTCTGGCCAGGATGCCAGGGAGCCATAACAAGTCCCTGCCACCCCCACCAGAGGAGCACAGCATGGCCCAGCTGGCCCCCTCATCTGGGCTCACATCCTGAAAAGCTCTCTCAGACATTCTGGGGTCTCCAGCTATAGCCAGACTCGGTAAATGGCCTGGAACTGCCATCTTGGGCCAGCTAGAGTTGCCCAGGCCCTAGACAAACCTTCCCTCTGGACCCCATCTGCAATGCTACATGCACCCCCACCAACTGGGACTTCACACAAAGGCCAGTGTACCCCATTTCTGCAAGCCACTGGACACATAAGCACTATTCTCAAGGGGTTTGCAAACAAGGAGGCTCTGATACAACAGACGTGGATCTGACTCCCACAAGTGTCATTTTCCCTGGGAGCATGAGAGAGCAGGCAAGAGGCCCTATGGTCGGCCCATTCCCAATCCAGACAGTCCCTGGACCATCACTTCTCTGGACTGAACTTCAGCTCTGAAAAGCAGAGCCCAGGCCAACAGGCCAGAGAGTCACGAGTCCCAGGGGTCTCAGCCATCAAGCTGCTCAGGATCAGAAGCTTGGCCAGGGTTCAAGCTGCCTGAAGTTTGAGCTTACACAGTAAAAATGCCAACCACTGAGATGCTTTTAAAGGGATGTGTAAGAGAGGAATCCTTTCAGGGCTTATGAGGCACTCTCAGGGCTCCGTCCAGTCTTCTACCTTGATTGCCTCCCTCCCCCATAGCCCCACAAATGCCCACAGGGTGTCCATGGGAAGCTGGGATAGCCAGGTTTGTTTTGCCAGGGGTGGGGGAGGTGGGGGCTGCTAATGCAGAGAGAAAACAGTCATGAGCAAAGCCAGAAAAGGATTAAGCCTCCAGGCTCAGCTTTTGCCTGCACTGAAGGGACTGCCTGCCTTCCTCCTAGGCAAAGGCCACGAAGAGTCACAGGCAGCCCTGGAAAACCCATTCCAACAGGACCCAGGGATCCCAGCAGGAGTAGGGTAGAAGCAGGCAGGTTTAGGCTTCCTCCGCAGGAGACTCAGCAGATGTTCCTGAGGCCCTCTGGTGAGGGCCTCCTGGGACCGCTGGGGTCCTTGCTCTGTCTCCTCAAAACAGTCTCTATGCCCTATACAGCTCCCACCACTGGAGGCTGCTGCACTACCTCCCTTCCCTTCTGGAAAGGCCTGGCTCCCCAGCAGGGCTAGAGCAGGGCTCTCTGAAGTCTGTGCCTGAGCACCCCAGTGCCAGACTCTGCCCTGGGCCAAAGATACAGATGAGGCCACTCACAGGGGCCTCCCTTGCCATTGCCTTGCCCTGCCCACTCCCCCACCACACACCCTCCCTGCTGCAGCTCTGCAGGTGGGCCTGCTGACCCTTCATCTGCTCCACAAGCATTTGCTGAGCACTTGCTGCAAGCCAGGCTCTGGGAGACACAGGAGACACAGAGCTTCCAGGCCGGTGGGGAGACAGAGAAACAGAAACACACGCTAATTATAATGCAAGGAAGCCCGTGCAGGGACTAGGGGTAAGTGACCCCTGGGGACAGGCAACCCCTGGGGGAGCTCCCTGACTTTGAGCCTCCCCTAGAGCTGTTCCTTCTGCCTGGAAGCCCTGCCTCCACTCTCACAATCTGCTTTCCCTCAAGGCCTACCTCCTCCAGCTGGCCCTCCAGCACATATTGTTGTCACCCATTCTGAATCTTCATGCTCTTATACCACTATCCAATAATGCTTCTTCAATTCCCTTCTGTTCCTGCACAGAGCCTGGGAGCAGCAGGGCCTGGAGACAACATGATCCAAGACGGAGGGCAGTGGACTGTTTGTCAGGTAACCAACCAGATGTCTGGTCCAGGAGCCGCCACTCACTGGTTCCTGCCTTTGAGGAGCTTAAGAGCCTGGGGTGGGAAGAGACCTGTATCCAGGGACCAAAGAAACACCTTTGTAAAAAGCAAGTGCCACCAGGACTAGCTGCATGCCGAATATGCGAGAGTACTGCTTATCTGCATAACCACTTATTTCCAACTGAGAAACGAGAAAGGCTGGCTCTGAAAGTAACTTGTCCCAGTTCACAGAACTCATGACTGAGGAGTCAAGATTCAAATCTAAGCCTCCTGACCCCAAACCAGGTCTCTCTCTGTCACTGTGTCAATACCCGTCTGTGTGGATGTCAAGCAGTGGTTCTTAAACCTCAGTGTGTGCAATAAAACCCACCCTGAGAGACTAGTTCATGGGTCTGGTGGGGTGGGGGTCGGGGGTGGGAAGAGCACGATGGGGAATCTAGGATGCTTCACAAGCAGCCAGGTGGTGCCCATGCACTGGAGCAGGGGAAGGGCTAAAGGGCCACAGCCTGGCATAGTGAAGTTTCCCAGGACCCACCACTCCCCATTCCCCAAAGGCACTACCTGTCAGAGTGCTATGGCCTGCCCAGGAGACATGAGGGGTCGCACAGAGCCCTGAGGGGACTCTGCTCTCAGCCAGTCCTAGGGTTAACTGTGGCTCTTACCACGCCTGGGACCCAATTGAGTGCCCATGTTTACTGAGCACTTACTATTTGCCAGGCACTGTGCTAAGTCCATTGCAGGCAGCATTTTGTTTAACCCTTACTGTTCTGTGTCTCGTTATTTACAGACCAGGAATGGTATACTCAAAAATATCTATTTAACATAAAGGAAGACAGTAATAGAAGAACAAAAGAATAAAAAAGACATAAGACATACAGAAATCAAATCACAAAATGGCAGCATAAATCCTACCTTATCCATAATTACTTTAAATGTGAATGGATTAAATATCTAAAAGGCAGAGGTTGGCAGAATGGACTTTTAAAAAAATATGCAATTATATGGCAGAACAGACTTCTTTAAAAAAGATGCAATTTCATTAAAAAAAGAAACACCCTTTACATTCAGAGATATAAATAGGTTGAAAGTAATTAGCAGGGCATGGTGACACACGCCTGCAGTCCCAGCTACTCGGGAGGCTGAGGTAGGAGAATTGCTTGAACCCAAGAGGTGGAGGTTGCAGTGAGCCCAGATTGCGCCACTGCACTCCAGCCTGGGCAACACAGTGAGACTCTGTACCAAAAAAGAAAAAAGAAAGCAAGGGATGGAAAAAGAGATACCATTGTAAACAGTCACCAAAAGACAGCTAGAATGGCTATACTAATATCAGACAAAATATGTGGTGGCAGGCACCTGTAATCGCAGCTACTCAGGAGGCTGAGACAGGAGAACTATTTGAACCTGAGAGGTGGAGGCTGCAGTGAGCCAAGATCGCGCCACTGCACTCCAGCCTGGGCAACAGAGCTAGACTCCGTCTCAAAAAAAAAAAAAAAAAAATCAGACAAAATAGACTTTAAGACAAAAACTGTTATTATAGACAAAGAATATTTTATAATGAACAAAGTGTCCGTCCCTCAGGAGGCTATACCAGTTATAGACATGCATGTACCTAACAACAGAGCCCCAAAATACATGAAGCAAAAACTGTCAGAATTGAAAGGAAAAAATGAACAACTCAAATAACAGTAGGAAACTTCAATACTCTACTTTTTTTCATGTTATTTTATACATACACATGAGAGAGAGAAAACACTCTACTTTCAACAACGAACAGTACGACTAAATAGAAGATCGACAAGGAAATAGAAGATTTAGACACTATAAACCAATTAGACCTGGAAGACCTATATAGAACACTCCACCTAACAACAGCAAAATACACACAAATACACACTCTTCTCAAGAGCACACAGATACTGCAGCTGTAGGTGAACTGTTTTTTTGTTTCTTTTTAAAAAAGAGCAGGCCCGGCACAGTGGTGCCTGTAATCCCAAAATTTTGGGAGGCCAAGGCCAGGAGGATCACTTGAGCCCAGGAGCTCAAGACCAGCCTGGGCAACAAAACGAGACCGTGTCTCTACAAAAAAAAAAAAAAAAAAAATTAGCTGCGTGTGGTGGCCACTATAGTCCCAGCTACTCAGGAAGCTGAGGCAGGAGGATTGCTCGGGCCCAGGAGGTTGAGGCTGCAGTAAGCCGTGTTCATGCCTCTGCAATCCAGCGTGCATGAAAGACCAAGATCCAGTCTCAGAAAAAATAAAAAATACATACTTTTTTATATATTATATAATATAATATATATATAAAATATATATATGTATATTTATAGCACAAGGAACACTCTCTACAATAGATCATCATTAGGCCATAAGACAAGTCTCAACAAATTTAAAGGGACTGAAATCACTCAAAGTATGTTCTCCAATCAAAACGGGTTGAAATTGGAAATCAATAACCGAAGGAAATTTGGGAAACTTACAGGAAACGAAGGTTAAAAGTAACTTGCCAAGTTCTCTCAGCTCAGAAAGGCCCCTCCCTCCTCAGCCCATGTTCTCCACACCTTCGGTGTCACAGTCCTAGGCAGCCGCAGAGCTCAGACTTGCAAAGGCCTGGGTATCCCCTCTCCCAGACACACATTGAACCTGACCCCAAGCTTGATCCCGACATCAAAACAACTAGGGGATGGAGAGGCCTTTGGGATTGCAACAGCTTGTCAGGCAGCCCTGCTTTTCCCTAGGAAAAATGGCCACAGGCAAATATTTCCACTTCCATGGCCAATCTACAAAATATCCAAAAGACAGATCCTTCCCAAAAGAAGGGAGCTAACGAGTACTTCGCTGGGCTGGGTCCTCTACAAATTCGAATCCATGCTTATAAACCTCCTATGGAGGAGTCTTATGTCCTCATTCTCCAGAGGGAAGTTGAGGCTCTGCTGTTACAGAGCCAGAAGCAAGATTCAAATCTTTATCTTGTGTCTTCCAAGTCCTTGCTCTTTCCACCACCCTCCCAGAAAAATCTGAAATCTACACCGGTGGGCCTCAGAAGGAATGCTACACTTGAGAACTTCACAAAGCCAGCTCCGGAGCTGCTGCTCTTCCCTGGGGGCATTTCCAAGCACAGCATGGTCTATTAACACTCCTCTTAAGAAATTATCCTAGCCCCAGTCAGCCAGAAACAGTTTCCCCTCCAGACTGGGGGTATCTGTAAAAGCCCCTGGAAGCCAAGAGAGCCCAAAGGGTGTTGAGGTATGGGGGACTGCAGAGGTGAGCTGGAGGCTGCAGGCTCAGCACCATCTCACTCTGGAATAAAAGCCTCCATGCCACATGGAGAAAGGTGGCTTGGGCCTCTCTTCAGAGCCAACTGGCAAAGCAGGGCCCAGCTGGGAAAGCTGAACAGATTCCAAATATCAAGGGATGTCAATGTTTACCTACTCCAATTCCTCGTTCCACAGAGCAGTCCAGAGAAGGAAATAAACTCGTCCGAGGACACACAGCCAGGAGCAAAATCAAGGACTCCAATAACAATGCTTCATGCCTCCATTTAGGCAGGCCCCACCACTTGGCAAGACACTGGGCAAAGCATGGAGCCAAGGTTTATCCCAACATCACACAAACAAGGCTTCATCAATACCTCCAAAATTTCCATTGAAGGTGCTACTATGTGCCAGGCATGGTGCTAAGCACACTACACACATTATCCTGTGTAATCATCTCACAGAAAGGTAGATATTATCATTATTATTTTTGTAGAGATGGAGTCTCACTTTGTTGCTCAGGCTGGTCTTGAACTCCTTGCCTCAAGGGATCCTCCCAACTCAACCTCCCAAAGTGCTGAGATTACAGGCGTGAGCCACCACACCAGGCCATCAAGGTAGGTATTATTACTCCTCCTTTCTAAACAAGAAATCTGAGAAGACCTTAGGTCAAATCACTTGCCTAAGGTCACAGCAGTATAGAGGCAAAGCCAGGACTGGCACCTAGGCCTGCCTGTTCTGCAAACTTCCTCCCCCAAGAGTTTCAGACTTGGAGGTCACACCAGGCTGCCTGGGATAGACAGCAGCAGCCTCTGGGTTGCTCACGTCTGCTCCCTGGAGAGCAGCTTCAGCCCCTGAAAACCACCATGATGTTCTGAGATGTGGCTGGTCGGGTAAAGTGGGTGGGAGAGGCCGGGCAGGTGAGTGGCTTTGAAGGTGAAGAGGCTACAGGTGATTACCTCCAGTGGGCCAACCTGTGGAGGGCTCGGCATCTTTGCCTAAGAGGAAGTCACACCCCTTCCACACCCTCCAACCCCACAACTGAGGTTAGCCAACAGCTCTTTAAAAATAAAGCCAGGCCGGATGCAGCGGCTCCCGTTTGTAATCCCAACACTTTGGGAGGCCAAAGCAGCTGGACCACCTGAGGTCAGGAGTTTATGAGACCAGCCTGACCAACATGGAGAAACTCTGTCTCTACTAAAAATACAAAATTATCCAGGCATCGTGGCGCACACCTGTAATCCCAGCTACTCGGGAGGCTGAGGCAGAAGAATCGCTTGAACCCAGGAGGCAGAGGTTGCAGTGAGCCAAGATCGTACCACTGCACTCCAGCCTGGGCGACAAGAGCAAAACTCTGTCTCAAAAAAATAAATAAAGTCTTGGCTCTCCCCTGCTTGTCAGATAACTCAAGTCCCCATGGAGTCTAGGCTCCTGTCCCTTCTCCTGGCACCCTGAGCTCTGGGTCAAATCAGGTCTCTGCTTGGGTTCCCCCACTCAGGACACTGAGCATTAGCCCCCAGCCACAGCCACCCATATCTCCACATGGTGCTCTCAGAGTGTTGCTTCTCCCAATAACTTAACTTCCTAAATAAAATATATTCATCGCACATCCCGAGTAGAGGAGACAGAGGTGCCCACTCACTCCAAAGATCATTTGTCCAAACCTCAATTTCATGGCTCATAGAACCAAGACCTCAAAGGTAAAATGACCTGCCTAAGGACACATGGCTGACTACCTGAGCAGAGCTATAGTGACGGCCTCCCAGGTAGATGTTCTCACACTTAGCACCCCTAGACCTGGCATTGCCAGGTCCTTGACATTCGTCTGGGGGAGGTAAAGCAGGGGGTGTAGCATGTGTGTCAAGCCTACCAAGTCTTCATCAACCCAGGCTCTCCTGACTGGTCAGGGCTGGAAAGGGCCAAGACCCACCTGGTGCTTGGGGGTTGGATGGGTCGGTGTCTGGCAGTGTAGTGTGAGAGTAAAGAACGGGGGCAATATGGCTCCCTAGTACATGCTAGCGACCAGGAAGCAAAAAAATTTGCCACCAGCAGAGGGAGGGGAGTCTCAGTGTGGCTGCCTGGGGCCTCCTAGAAGGGCTGCAAACTGGGCACAGACAGACGCCCATTTGACTCCAGAGCCATCACATCAGCCTCACGCCCTTCCTCAGGCCCTGGTCAAGATGCAAGACTTTTGCCAAAGGCTCACACATTCTTTGCATTTCTCCAGTCTCTGAGCAGCTGCTGCAGGGCCTTTTCTCCTATGTTGATTTATTCTTTATTGTTCCTGAAATACACCCAGAGGCCTTTGGCACAGCATGCGGGCACAGCAGAGCATCCAGCCCAAGCCCCAAGTACACACCAACCAGACTCTCTGGGACCTGGGCCAAGCCAGCTGGAATGATGGGCCCCAGGTCAGACCCAGCAGCCAAGAAGGGAGACCAAAGATTCCACCTAGCCCCAGCCTTTGATTCCCCAGAGCTGTTCTCAGTACCTCAGAGGCTGGGATACCTTTAAGGGGGAGGACACACTTGGGAGGTCCCCAGGAAGCCCACACTAAGCTGAAACCAAGCCTTTCCCCTCTTCCTGTGCATGTGCCTGGCCGAGCAGTCCCCAGGCCCACAGCTGAGTCCTCCACAGAAGGGCCTCAGGGCTCAAGGCTGGGCTCCTGGCTGCCCTGTGAAGCATCTGGAGAGGGAGGCAGCAGGGAGGTCTTCCCCACCCTTCCCAGCCCAAGATATCTCCCCTACCAGCCAGTCTAATGGTGCCTGAATTCCTACTATCAGCACTTCATACCAAGGATCAAAGCATTGTTCCTTGTGCACATGAAAATAGCCGGAGGAAGTGTGGGAGCTGCAGGGTAAAAGTAGTCAGGGGCAATGTGTGCTGGCTTCTCCAATCACCAGCCTCTGTGAGCCTGGGGTTCCCTATTGGTGAATGGGCACAACAGTTTCATCTCAGTTATTGTGGGATTCAATGAGGTAATACATAGATGAAGCGCCGCCTGGCACAGGGTACGCACTCAATAAATGTGTTTCCTGTCTCCCTTGCTGGGTAGGGGTGGCTCAGACATCGTTATCAGTCTTTAACACCTTGGAGGAAATGAATAGTCCAACTCTTCCAGTTCCACAGCTGGCTGAGAGCAAGGCTGGCCAGGCAAGGGCGGGACAGGGAGACTCAAAGTCCTAGCAACAGTGTGGGGCTCTGCAGGCACGCAGAGCTTCCGGCCTACAGACCCAGGAGAGAGAGGTCTGGCCAGAAAGTCCAGAGGGCACCCAGCACAGGCCTCCTTTAAACTCAGCTATGCCAGCAGGGCCTGCCTACAGGGATACAGGGGGATGAGGGTATTTCCCAGATAATACCGGCAGAGCTTCCAGGCCCAAAGGATGAGCCGCCACCTCCTGGATTCACTCTAAGAAGAGCAATAAAGGGGAAGGTGCGATGGCCAGAGGGAGGCTGAGGAAGGGCTGCAGGAAGTAGAAGGGACTCCAGTGTGGCAGAGACACAGGGCCTACAGAAAGCAAGCAAGCCTGCCCAGAGGCCACCACAGTAAATGTCCCACAAGTGGAAGTGCCCGCCTGGTTATTTTTGGCGCCTCTTCTGCCCAAAGCCAGTAAGGAAAGGCAGCTGCTAGCAACACAGAAGGGCTGTTTACACTCAAGTGTGCAAGCACTGCAACAGGGACAGAAAGCACAACTAGCAGCCACCATGCAGATGGGCCTCTGCCCCGTTTTTCCCCTCCCAACTGTCCCCCGTTGTGTGCTGCACAGCTGACACAGTGTGGGTACTTCTGCTTTCACTCAGATCCAGCCTCCCAACCACAGGACTCACTCACGCACATGCAAACAAATAAATAACTATGGAGCCAGCTGAGGACTGAGCCACACCCAGGAGCCAAGACAGTATTCCTTTGGATTCTTCCTGCGCTCAAGCTGCCCTCCCAGCTTCCAAACTGGGAGAAGCAGCCACCAGGCGCAGGACACAGGAGCAGTCCCTTTCCACCCTCCCAAAGTGAAAGTGGAGACAGTCTTTACAACCTCAAGCATCTCACCACCTCTCGGCTTCCCCATTTGAAAATGAAGGATTCGGACTAGATGTCCCAAATGGTTTCCCAGCTCTGGAATTAGGACTATGACCCAAGACCAGCTGGGGCCTCAGACAGAGGAAGGCCAGGAGGGGAGGAGGATCTGTGCCAGGAACTGCCAGCTCACATGCCGTCTCGGGGTTGCAAGTTATCACTTAAGCCCATTTCTGAGCTATGGGGGCCTTACCTACTAAAGAAATGGCAAGTTCTGGCAACGGTAAGTTGGATAGGGTCCTCTGTCTGCCCAACTACTGGGAAAAGCAGGGAATCAAAATCTCTCACCATTTTCCTTCTTGTCTGGATTCCAATTCCCCAGAGAAGCTGAGCGGCTTTAGAGAGAAGCCCCTTCTGGCCAGCTACAAGCCTACTGTAGCTCACTCTCTCCATCCAAGCTTTAACTGGGATAAACCTTGCCCTGTGCTTTCCCCACTCTCCTTCCTTCCCAGGACTCCTGAAGGAAGAAGCACTGCCTGGAAAAAATGCTCTCACCACGAAAGCTCCCTGCGGCTGGGAGAAAGGCAGAGGGAACAGGGAGCACCTTCCCTGGCTGGCCACAGCACGAGGCTGTGTTCCAGGAAGAGCAACAGCAAGGGCGGCTGCCAGGGAAGCCTCAGCCCCAAGCCCCGGCTCTTCCCCACCAGCTCTTCCCCACCAGCCGAGAATGACAGCCAGCAACTGCAGCCCTCAGGGAGACCCCCAGCCCCACCCCAGCACAACTCCGGCTCTCCTCTGACAGTGGCAACTTTCTTCTTATATAATTCTTGGTGTTTCCTTCACCGTTGCACATAATTTTAATGGGTAAAAGAGCCAAAGCAGTCTTTAAGGAAAAACTCCCACCCTTGGCTCTACCCAAACCTCCTGCGAGGTCACACTGCGAGGCTTCAGGTGAAGCAAACAGGGGACTTTTTTTCCTTGGCTGAGAAAGCAGCCTTCCTCCTGCCCACCCACGTGAGCAGCTCAGCCTGGGGCCTGGGCGGGTAGGTTCCTGAGAGCACAATCTGATCTCTGGGAAGCTGGGCCCTCAACCCTCGGCTGCAGGGCCACAGTCCCTCTCAAAGGCACACAGACACTGGGTCTGGGCCACATGTCTAGGGTGGAGTGGATCAAGCTGTTGTTCCCAGGGCACAATAAACTTCATTTATACAAGCTTCAGTGGCCTGGTAGATTGCTTTCCTACTATAAACAGGACACCCTTCATTTTCTCTTCCTTGATAGGAGTCAAAGGCAAACACACTGGATCCAGTGGGAACTGGTGAAATGAGAGTTGCCATCTGTTGAATACCTAGTATGTGTCATTCACTCTGCATGCATAATCCTGTCTAATCTTCACAGCCTATGAAGTACTAGTATCATCCACATTTTACAGGTGAGGCAACTGAGGCCCAAGAAGTTAAGCAATGCCCAAAGCCACACAGCAAGAGGAGATGCTGGGGTATGAACTCAGGTCTGCCCAGGCCTCATTCCCACGCACCCATCAGACTTCCTTCAGTCACTGCCCAAGTGACTGTCCACACACCATCCAGGAACGGCGTTCTGAGTGTGGAAGCAGAAGTCGGTGTGGATGAATTTTGCTGGAGGCCTCCAGAATCTGAACTGATGCTCCAACTATTATTGCTCCCAAGTGTGTGACTGCGAGAGCCCATGTCAGTGTGTGTGTGTGTGTGTGTGTGTGTGTGCGCGCGCGCGTGCGCGCTGAGGTGGAGGGAGGGTGATCTGGATTCCAAATTGCAGTTTCCAACATTAAAGTTATGCTGTAATGCTTCTGATTCATAAAATGAGCTCATAGTCTCACAGTATCCTGAATGTTGCTTCGAATGCAAATGCAGGTCCCTTAGTAAGAATTGGGGATTTCAGCCTACTCCACCCTAGCCCCGGCCCAGCATGCAATTTTTCAGTCCCAGAGTCAAGAGTTCTCATGTGCAGAAAGAAGCAATTCCTCCAACAGAATGCGGCCACTGGCTCTGCTTCCTGCCACCTGCAGTGAGTCAGGGAAGAATGGAGCCCCAGGCTGCTTCTGTACTGATGCATGCACGCCTGCACACACACAGGAAGGGTGCCAATCTGGGCTGACCAAAGGAAGTGCCCAGGCTAGCAGATCCCTAGGGAGATGGCTCCACAACTCTTTCACCCTGAGGTCCCCTTAGGGTCAGGATGACCGACACATGCACTCCACAAGGCCAGCTACAGGGCAGTGCCAGGAAACTGGGTTCACCAGCCCCAGAATCACCCACGGTGGACTGACATTTTTGAAACCAGTGATGCAATCTGAGGAGGTTCCAGGAGCAGGGACTCACTGGGCCCAACACATGACAAGTACACATTTTTTTTGATGGAGATCTTTCACTAATTTGTTCAACTAACATGCACTAAGACCAGGTGAGGTAGTTCAAGACTGTAATCCCAGCACTTTGGGAGGCCAAAGTGGGTGGATTTCTTGAGCCCAAGAGTTCAAGACCAGCCTGGGCAACATGGCAAAACCCCATATCTACAAAAATAGAAAAATTAGCCAGGTGTGGTGATGTGTACCCGTAGTCCCAGCTACTTGGGAGGCTGAGGTGGGAAGATTGCTTGAGCCCAGGAGGCTGAGATTGCAGCGACCTGAGATCGCACTACTGCACTCCAGCCTGGGCGACAGAGAAAGACCCTATCTCTAACAACCAAAAAAAAAAAAAAACACTAAACACTTACTAGATGCCAAGCAGCATTGTGGGACCCATTCAAGCAGAGGCTACCAAATACTGAAATGTGCTTTAAGCATTTTACGTATACTAACTCACAGAATCCTCACAGCAACTCTATGAAGGAGATACTGTATAGGAACTCTAACTCAGAGTCTTTGTTTTTGACCACCACACTGCAGTATGTACACAAATAACTACATAAGGTGGAAATGAGTGTTCAGAAGATGGCTACAGCCTTCAGAAGTGGCATTTGAAACAGGATTAGAAGGATAAGCTGGAAACCCCCAGCCACTTTGTGGCTGTCCCCACCCCAGCATGAGCAAAGTTTTCTTCTGGGAGACCCAAATGCAAGAGAGGGGCTCTCAACCTGAAGATTCCTGGACTGGGCCCATTCCCCTTCCCCTCTTCTGTCAGAGGTCTTGGCACCCCTGGGCAGCCTTTCTCTGGGGACTCTAGACACAGGAGGCCCTCAGCTGAATCCACAACTGCATGTTGTCTTTTCTTGTGTTCCACTTATTGAAAGCAGCAGCACACAGGGTCAAACACTGGGGCTATTTTAAAATCCCACATGTAAAAATTAAATTCTCATCCCCATGGGCACTCCAGGGCGCTCTTTCCTGGGGCGGGGTGAGGAGCTGACAGAGTCACGGGAGTGGGGGTTCTGCTGGCACTTGGAGAGGCCACACTGGCAGTGGCTAGGCTGTTCCAGAGCAAGCTGGCAAGCTGTATGACCTGGGGGCATCCTCCAGGTTCTTCACCCCCTTGTCCCCCCGGGAGCTACACGGACCAGAGTAACCAGCCAGAGGCCAATCCAATTAGAGTGGAGACTGGACCAGGGCCATGCAACGAGATGGTTTATCACAGTAATTGAATGTTTACGCTCCTATTATTCACTGTCCAGAGCAGTTGGAAAAGGAAGACCTACGAATTCTCAACCCGGGAAGGCTTCTCCTTTTCCCTGGGTTCTGAAGCCACTTAACACCCAAGGAAAGGGTGCATTTCTCTGATCCAAAAGGGGCGTGTGCCACACCTTTGGTGGGAGGCTCTAGAGCAAGACAGGTGGTTTCTCCCCTCAGCTGAGGCCCCCTAGGGAGGACTGGCTTCTCGGTCCACCTTCACTAGGCCTTCAGTCTCAACCCTGAAGCTACAGGAACAAGAAGATCCCAGATCACCTGGCCAGGCTCCCCCTGCTGGAGCAAGCCAGACATCCCCTCCCTCCCCCAGCCGCAGCTGCCAACAGGGATCCCCTGCATACGCGGGCCACCGGGGCCTCCGTGGCCAGCCTCTCTTCCCCCATCCCACCGCCCCCCGCGCGAGGCTCCACAGGCTGGCACACAGGTCCCACGTGGGATGGTGGAAACAGGAAGCAGCCACCGTAGTTGTGACCAACAAAGTTTTAAATGGGGCATATAACTTCCCCTTTCATCTTCTCACCAGCTCTCGCTGGAGGCTGGGCTGGGACGGACACCCGGCCTCCACTTTCTGTGGCAGGTACCTCCTCCATGTCGGCCCGCCTTGGGGCTGAAGCCTGAAGGCCCCAGGGCACACGAAGTTCCCCTTCCTCCCCTAGACCTTTACCCAGAGGCCTTGGGGGCAACCTGACACACATGGTCCTGCATGTGCGACTTGGGAGGCGACGTGACCAGCTCCACCAAGCCGGCCATATGCAGGGCCCGGCCGAATCCCGGGTTTCGGCGCTGCCGCCAGGCACCAGGGAACACAGCTCCCCGCGAGGCACCGCGCGGGCTGGGAGGGCTGCGGCGGCGCGGGCGTGCGGGGGCGCGCGGGAGGATGACAGGTCTGAGGTGCGCCCGCCCGCGCGAAGCGCTCCAGCCTAGGCCTCTGCTGACTGCATTTGCCCCAGTTCCCCAACGCCCCTGCACCTCTGTCCCCCAAACTCCTGGCGTGGACGCCGCGTCCAGGCCCACTTTCCCGTGCACGCTGGCAGGGGAAGGGGCTCCCGCGCCAAGTTCCCTCAGCTGGCTAGCCCCTCGCCGCGCCTTCCGGGCCTGGGCTCCGTCACGTCAGCCGGTCCCCACGGACACCACGTTTCTCTCCAGCGGAGGAGGAGCAGCCGGATTCCCGAGCCGCCGCGGGCCGCCGGGTGGGGAGGGCTTTCCTGGCGGGGCCGCGCCCGGGTGGGCGGGGGCCGCGCGCAAGCTGCGTAGCTGCACAAACACCGCGGGGCTGCGCTGCACACGCAGCTGCGGGCCGAGGGCGCGGACCGCGGGGGAGGGGGCGGCGGGCTGCAGGCGGCCCCCGCACGGCCACACGCGCCCGCTCCACCGCCGCCCAGGCCGCAGAAGTTCGAGCGCAGCGGCCCCCGCGGCCCCCTCTCCGGGCCGCGCCTGCAGAGCTGCAACCCGCCGTGCGAGCAGCCACAGCTCGCGCGCCGCCTGGGGTCCCCTCGCCGGCCCCGCCGCGTGCAGGCCTCGGCCGCCGGCCAGGCAGCCCCACTTACCCAGCTCTTGCCCGGGCTCCGGGCTCCGGGCTCGGCTGTCCCCCTTCCGCCGCGGGTCGCCGCCTTCGGTCGCCTCCGGGACTCCAGCCGCCTGCACGCACTCCCGATTTTAAAAACAAACAGGCGCCGTCGCCTCCCCGCGGCGCTCGCGGGGCTTCCGCCAGCCCGCGCCTCCCGAGGCTGAGAAGTTTGCTGGCAGGGCCCGGGCGGGACGCGCGGGCTGTCACCCCCCGCTTGCGATGCAGGAGCCTCGGCGCGCCCCGCACCCGTGCCGTCCGCCTCGCGAGCGCTCTGCCTCCCTCCGTGTCACCCCCAGTCCTGCGATGCAGTGTCAGGATTGCACGGCTCTGACTCATCGGTTGAGCTCACAGCTTGAAAAAAAAAAAAAGAGAGAGGGCGAGAGGCAACAGCGGAGGAGGAGGACTCTGGCGTGCTACAAAGGATTGCACAACTCGAGGCTGGGAGCGCGGAGCGCCCAGCGGCCGGCCGGCGCGCGCGGCACCGCGGCGAGCAGGAACCAGCTCTACCACTTCATCAGCACAACTGTCTCGGGGCGGCCTCAGCCAGCAGGCCCGGCGCCGCCCACTTCCTGCGACCAAATAAGGCCGGGGAAGGCGTCCTTAAACCTCAGGCGGCGGCCGGGGCTGGGGATTTCCAGCAGACCTCACCTCCACTCACGAGTCGGTCGCCGTCCCCATCCCCCGCCCAGGCTGGCGCCCCCGATGGCTTTGCTGGCGGGCCACGCTGCTAGTTCCTTTCACACCAAGGTCAGGAGGAGACGGTGACGAAATGTTTGGAAACCCATTGAGCCTGCCAGGAAAGTGTGTGTGTGATGCTGGGGAAGGCACAAGTCGCTTTCTTCCACAAAGAAACTCTCTCTGGTTTTGGATACGGTAAATCATGCACAATCCTCTCCATGGCATTTTATTAACAGACTCTCCGAGTTTCACTTTCTGGCTCAAAAGCGTCCTGGTGCGTGTAAAGGTTATTGAGAAACTGGCCTCAGTCCCTAGAAAGGACCCACCATCTCCATCGCTTAGGTGAGGAAAATCTCCTGGATTTAAATCTAGCAACTCAGGCCAGAGTTGAGCGGCTTTTCACTCCATACTCACATTTTCCCCTGTCTTCCCTAAATATCCCCCTGATCAATTCTCAGGTCCAGGCCTTGATGCCTCCTTGCCTGACTGGTGGGAAGATGGAAAACATTTTTGCAGCTCAAGAGGTTGGTTCTGGCCCCCACATTCAATGGGGCTCTAGGGCCAGGGGAAAGTTCAGGGGAGTGTGTCCTATTCTTCCTTCCAAGTTTTTTGGTGGTGGTGCAGTGGTGGTGGTGGCGGCGGCGGTGGTGGCGGTGGCTGTTTTTCAAGGAGATGGGTCACAAGGAGATTTTCCTTTGAAAGAAAAACCACCGAAGAATACCATGTGTCCTGGCAGCCACTTTTCAAAACACTGTGGCCAGACCTGAGAACCAGGTGCATCCCTCACTTTCTCAGGGAGAAGAGGAGGGAGGGGCAGCAGAATATGATTCTCACACACTCACTGGGCCTACAGGGCCAGGGTGGGGTGTGGAGGACACAGGCAAAACTTGGATCTTCTGCCCAGAAATCCTGCCAAACCTGCACTTGCTTCTAAGGGGGCATGGCTTTCCTGTCCTCTTCCACCTCTTTGCTGGCTGGAGCACCTGCGTACATGTACACCTGGAAGTCACACCTCCCCAAGAGGAGAAGGGCTTATTTGCACCATGTTATGATAGATATGTCAAAATAAGGAACACTTAAAACAATCTTATCTACAAAATACAGGTAATTATGCCACAGGACTGGACCAGAGGACCTCTTGAGATCCCTTCCAGTTCAAGATCCATGATTCTGTGATTACAGTAAGTGAATAGAGGAGCTAGGGAAACCACCTTCTACAAAAAAAAGCCCGGGCTCCCCGATTTAGCATCTGTGATGACAGTATTGTTCCTGGCAGCTCTCAGAGCACTTCTCCATACAGTCTCCTGAAGAGCCCTGCATGTGAGTTTTATCTCTCTCAATCTGTGGATGTACTGAGGTTCAGAGAGGTTAAGTGAATTGCACCAGGTCACAGGGCAAGCCAAGCATCTGTGACCTCTCTGCTCCTCCCCCAGAGGAAGGCAGTGAGCAATTGAGGAACTGCAGTGCTCAGGCCTGCAGACCCCCAAGCAGAGGCCAGACTCTCAGGGCTCCTGGCAAAGGATCAGGGTAGAGCCTTTTTACTTTTTTCATTTGCCTGATTTCTTCCCTCCCACTGACAACACATCCAAGTGAGGGAAGCAAAAGCAAAGCCATTTGGTCTCCAGTGCCCACTGCTGCCAAGTTCCTCTGCAGACCTGTGGCCATCCTCACCTCCCCTGAGAGCCCAGCCCCTGCAGTTGGCCTTAGGCCAGCCCAGAGTGAGCCCCTAAGAGCTTGTGCAGACCAGCCCAGGGATGTTCCCAACCAACCAGAAAACCTGACTGGGAAGCACATTGCTAGAAGAGCCTGCCATCATGGAGCCAGGGCCCAGCCTTCAGGGAACAGGTGAAAGCCACTCCAAAGGAGTGGCCCAGGAAGCAGCATACATAGTGGAGGCAGGTGGCAGGGGAAACAGAGAAGTCAGTGGCCCTGAAGGAGCCTTGCTCACCTTGGAGCGGCACCGCCCTTCACTACAGCTAAACTTCCAAATTCAGGCCACCTAAGAAAGGAGAGAGAAGAAAAGGGGCACACATGTGTGCAGGGGAGGAGGGCTCAAGACTATACCAAATAGCCCCCCCTTGGCAGGAGAAGTCTACCTCAAAAAGGCGGGCAGATGAGGCTATGTAAAGAAAGCTGCAGCGCTTCCGGGAAAGCCCTGGAGGTCAGTTTTGCTGCAGATATGACGGTGCAGAATCACTGACGTGTGAAGTGAAAGTTTTGGTTTTAGAAGCTCCAGCCCCTGCTACAAGTCTCTGGGGCAACCAAGAAGGTTGACCTTTCAGGGAAATGGGGAGGTGTTCCAGAGACCTTATCCACAGAGTTGGATTTTCTCCACCCTCAACCCTCTTTACAAACTGCACGAAAAAGGAGTACAGAGCTCCAGTTACCAGGGAGTGTGACAAGAGAGAAACACTCCAGGAAATAAAGCACCCTAGACAGAATCCTAAACTCTGATTCCCAATAAAGGTAGAATATGGCAAATTTGAGAGGCTTCCTAGGGCCACATCAGCTCTCTGGACTCCACTCAGAGCGGTCTGTCACTGCCCTGTGTTTCATCAGCAGTATCTAGACCATTAAAATCTTCCAAGGATGAGGCCAGGCACAGTGGTTCACACCTGTAACCCCAGAACTTTAGAAGGCTGAGGCAGGAGGAGTGCTTGAGCGCAGGAGTTTAGAGACCAGCCTAGGCAACGTGGCAAAACCCAGTCTCTACAAAAAAATACAAAAATTAGCCAGGTGTGGTGGCACATGCCTGTGGTCCCAGCTACTCAAGAGGCTGAGGTAGGAGGATTGCTTGAGCCCATGAGGTCAAGGCTGCAGTGAGTTGTGTTCACGCCACTGCACTCCATCCTGGGTGACAGGGTGAGACGTTGTCTCAAGAAAAAAGAAAATCTTCCAAGGGTGAATTTTATGGTGTGTGAAGTATATCTCAATAAAGCTGTTACGAAGTTGGGGGAAAGCTTCCAAGGAAGCCAGGTTCTCACCTCCCAGCCACCTTCCTCCAATAAGTCTGCAGCCATCATCACTATTTAAAAGAGAAGTGTCTTTCTCCCCAGGCTCCATACCTGCATTGCTGTCCTTTTCCCACTGTTCCTCCCCCAATGAGGCCAGCACACGTGGTGTGTTTAAGTAAACAACCAACCTTTACCAGAGCCTGGGGAACTGGGAGTACAAATATTGTTGAGGGCATCCCAAGTCCACAATGCCAGCCAGGTCCCTATGTCCCTTGTGTTCTTGTGTCCCTATTGTCGTTTCCCTCTAGAGAACTAAAGTACAACCTCCAGGACCTCATTACCTACAATTACAACAGAAAAAAAAGAAGGGTGTAGAAAACACAGGGACTTAGGAAAACTGTCACTGACCTTCCCTGAACCTCACTTTTTAGGCCCATAACAGATGCACTGTTTAAGTGTTCATTGCATGAACAACGAAAGGATGCCCACCTTCCAGGGGCTTGAGAGGATCAAAAGGACAAAAAACTGCTTTATAACTCAATCATGCTATGTACATATAAGAGGCTACAATTAATTATTTTTACTGTTTTACCCTGTATCTCCTCCCCAACCTAGGTTATCCCTTCTTAAGAACCTAGTTCCAGCCCCAGCGTCATGGCTCACGCCTGTAATCCTAGCACTTTGGGAGGCCAAAGCGGGCGGATCATCTGAGTCCAGGAGTTCGAGACCAGCCTGGCTAACATGGTAAAACCCTGTCTCCACCAAAAATACAAAAGTTAGCCAGGTGTGATGGCGCACGTCTGTAGTCCCAGCTACTCGGGAGGCTGAGACATGAGAATTGCTTGAACCCAGGTGATGGAGGTTGCAGTGAGCCCAGATTGCCCCACTGTACTCTAGCCTGGGCAACAGAGGGAGACCCTGTCTCAAAAAAAAAAAAAAAAAAAAAAAACAAAACAAAACAAAAAAAAACCACCTAGTTCTTTTCCCTGAAAAGACCCCATGGGCCTCAGGTAACCCTCTCATGGGCACTGCCTAGAGAGACTTTTTCTGGCATTGACTCAATGTCTCATCAGGGGTGTCCTCCAACGCTTCTCTCCCAGCCTGTTCTTTGTGTCCTTTCCACCACACTTTTCCACAGGGCTGTCCTCCCAGCCTGAGTAGGAACACCCCTCCACCAGCTGTGTCTTCTCAGCCCTTTTTGCCAGGTCTTTTCTGAGCAAACCGCGAGCTCACAACCACCCCAGTCATGAAGTTAAGCCACTGTGTGCTGAGATGTCTCTGCACTGTCTTCTCTTTTATCCTTGGAAAAAACCCCAGGGGACCCTCCTCCTCCGCTCACATTGACTTCACCTGTTCTGGGGCAGGGCCATGCTTGCCACACCAGCCCACAGCTGTCTGTGTCCCTGGCCCTCCCACCTGCCCCCTCCCCAGCCTCCCTGCCCTGCAGGCCTGGGCCAGGTTCTGAGTGCCTTTGTCAGGCCTGAGAAGGAGCCTCTGTACATGTCCCCAGTTGCTGCTGTCACTCTGGGAGAGACGTCTGGCCGGGTGTAGGGAGAAGGACAAAACAGGTGTGGCTGCCAGGGAGGGCAGGCCAGCAGAGCCACAGGACTGAAACGCCCTTTCTTCACAGACCGAGAGCTGCCAACTTCTCAAAGGCCTCCCTTCAGCACAGTTCCATGCCCTCTGCAGAACTAGTCCCAGACAGACTTCCTCACTGGCTGTTCACTGGAGCTTGGCTTCCCTGTGTTGTGGCAATGGGCCAAGAGGAACAGGAACTCCAGAGACCCAATGTGTGCAACAGGGCATGCTTTAAAGCACTGATTTTAAATGAAAACAAATACTGATACATCATGGACTAGAATCCAACATTCATGCTTATGGGGGTGTACAGGTTAAGAGCACAGGCTGAGACCTGAGTCCAAATCTTGGCTCACACTAGCTTGATGACCTTCAGCGAGTTACTCAACCACTCATCTGCAAAATCGGAATGATAGTAAGAGCTTACTTAAACAGTGTCTGGCACACACTAAGTCTTTTATAAGTGTTGGCTATCATTTTTTCTCATCTATTTCCTTGCTTCTGGTTTTGCACACTTTACCATCCACACTGCCATCAGAGTGATCACACCTCTCTTCAGTAGCTCCCATCATCTACTGCATAAAGCTGAGACTGTTAGCTAGACTGTTAGGCACCTTTCCCACACGATCTGGCTCTGCCCCACTTCCCAGCCTCAGCCCACATGGCTAAACAACCTGAAGTTCTCCAAGATTCCTGCATTCTCACCCTCATATCTTCACACATGCTCCTTCTCTCGCCACCTTGATCCCCACATTATCCCACACCCAGATCTCCCACCAGACTTGACCTTAATGGCAGCTCTTCCAGGAAGCGTTCATTGACTCCTCCAAGTAGAGGAAGGACACTGGAGTGTATACTGTTGGAGCCCCAGATCTACTTTGTAAAGTTGGTACAATGTCCCCCAGATGCTCTGAGTGTTGGCTTTCAAGGACTCACAGCTACCCCATTCTCAAAAGGGGCCTTTGGTGGGACCAATTCAATAGTGGTGCAATTCATGCTCCAGCAGCAACACACACCTCCTTACTTGGCTTCTTCCCCGGCTCTACCCTGCTTCCCTTCCTCCCTTCCTCCAGAGACAATTTCTTAAATAAATCCCATGCACCCAAACCTCTGTCTTTGCTCCTAAGGACCAGACAGCCACTCTGTTCCCTAAACTCCCATGGCATCCTCTGTTTATCTTTACTCCATCACCTGCACATTGTTCTACACCTGCTTATTGCAGCATATCTGGAATCAGAGTGCCATCTACTAGGATGGGAGCTCCTGAAGGGCACAGCCTAGATCTTCCTCACCTTAGTATCCCTGGTAGCTATACAGTGCCTGCACATGGTGGGTGCTCAGTGAATGCCTGTTGATAAATGCATGAATAAAACAGTATATGTGAATATTTAAAGTAAGCAATACAATGTAACAGATTGCTGTTACTTTTATTACTGTTCTATTTCATTGATTCTAAGATACACATTTCCTCCATTTTAACATCTCTGAAATCAGGATGCATCTTACAATTGATAGCCTGTATAGTTTAATTAGCAGCACTTCCTCTTCCATTTCTTTTCTTTTCTTTTTTTTTTTGAGATGGAGTCTAGCTCTGTTACCCAGGCTGGAGTGCAGTGGTGCAATCTCGGCTCATTGCAAGCTCCACCTCCCAGGTTCATGCCATTCTCCTGCCTCAGCCTCCCCAGTTGCTGGGACTACAGGCAGCTGTCGCCATGCCCAGCTAAATTTTTTGTATTTTTAGTAGAAACGGGGTTTCACCGTGTTAGCCAGGATGGTCGTCTCAATCTCCTGACCTCATCATCTGCCCGTCTCAGCCTCCCAAAGTGCTGGGTTTACAGGCGTGTGCCACTGCCCGGCCATTTTTTTTTTTTTTTTTTTTTTGAGATGGAGTCTCACTCTGTCACCCAGGCTGGAGTGCAGCGTCATGATCTCAGCTCACTGCAACCTCCGACTTCTGGGTTCAAGTGATTCTTCTGCCTCAGCCTCCCAAGTAGCTGGGATTACAGGCCTCGCCACCACACCCAGCTAATTTTTGTATTTTTAGTAGAGATGGGGTTTCGTTATGTTGGCTAGGCTGGTCGCAAACTCCTGACCTCAAGTGATCCGCTGGCCTCAGCCTCCCAAAGTGCAGGGATTACAGGCGTGAGCCACCACTCCTGGCCTCTTTCTTAGCTGTATATAAAATAACACTACATCTTCTAATCAATGGCTTCTTAGGTTCAGTGGTGTATGGTATTAGTATTATCAATAACTATTGAGGCTCAGTCTCCTAAATTCTGAGGCCTGCACTGCAAAGCCCACAGAGCTATGATGCCCATTATCTGAGCTCAGTAGCTGTTGGGCAAACAAGCTGTCATAGGGGCTGGGCATGGTGGCTCATGCCTATAATCCCAGCGCTTTGGGAGGCTAAGGCAGGAGGATTGTGCTTGATGCCAGGAGTTTGAGACCAGCCTGGGCAACACGGCAAGACCTGTCTCGAAAAAAAAATAAAGAAAATTAGCCAGGTGTGGTGGTATGCACTTCTAGTCCCAGCTACTTGGGAGGCTGAGGTGGGAGGATTGCTTGAGCCCAGGAGTTTGAGGCTGCAGTGAGCTATGACTGCACCACTGCACTCCAGCCTGAGCAACAGAAGGAAACTCTGTCTCAAGGGTGGGGGGAAAAAGGCTCTCATAAAATAACCTACAATTTCCCAGAGTTAAGAAGGACCCCTGTGTCCAGACACCTCTGGAAACTCCCATGAAAGTAGGCCCATGTAATGTGGAACAAGCTCTGCACTGGGAGTCATGAGAGAAAAGTTCTAAGCCTATTTCTTCCTCTAATTTTCTGGATGACCTACACAGGATTTTTCTCACATCTGTGAGGCAGCTACTAAATGCCTGACATTGGCCTGGCACAGTGGCTCACGCCTGTAATCCCAACACTCTGGGAGGCCAAGGTGGGTGGATTGCTTGAGCTCAGGACTTCAAGACCAGCCTGGGCCACATGGTGAAACCCCCATCTCCACAAAAAATACAAAAATTAGCCGGGCATGGTGGTGTGTGCCTGTAGTCCCAGCTACTTGGGGGGCTGAGTGGGGAGAATCGCTTGAGCCCAGGAGGCAGAGGTTGCAGTGAGACGAGATCACACCGCCGCACTCAGCACTCTAGCCTGGGTGACAGAGAGAAAGCCTGTCTCAAAAAAATTAAAAAATAAAAAATACATGCTTGAGATGATATGAGCCTACTGAGTCCACCCCAGCACCCTTGAAGGAAGCCATTTTTCCCATTTTATAGATAAGGAAGCTGAGGTTCAAGAAGGTTAAACAGCTCTGCCAAGGTCATACAGATGGCATTTGACCTCTGGACCCTCTGAAGCTTTCTCTCTGCTACATGAGGATACCTCTCTGGGCCCGTGTTTCCCAATAAGAAGTTTAATAAAATGAGGGATTACAGACTGGAGCCTCATGGGCCATTCTCCCTCACAGATGTGTTTTATTTGACTCACATATTATGTTTTATTTTAACTGAATTTATTGCCAACTTTTTTTTTTTTTTTTTTTTTTGAGACACAGCCTTACTCTGTTGCTCACTACAACTTCCACCTCCCAGGTTCAAGCGATTCTCCCACCTCAGCCTCCCGAGTAGCTGGGACTACAGGTGTGCACCACCACGCCTGGCTAATTTTTTATATTTTTAGTAGAGATGGGGTTTCACCATGTTGGCCAGGCTGGTCTCGAACTCCTGACCTCAGGTGATCTGCCAGTGTCAGCTCCCAAAGTTTTGGAATTACAGGCGTGAGCCACTGCACCCAGACTATTGCCAATATTTTTTTTAAATCAGAAAACAAACTAAAAATCAGAACTTCTGGCTTGTCATGGAAAAAAAATTGGAAACCTCCTTCTTGGAGGTGGAACTGAGTAGCACTGCCAGGGAGGGTTGCTTAGGTGGGATAGACTTTCCAATTTTCCAAAGATCCCACCCATTCCCAGGCCACGAGTCACTGTCATTTATCATCACACTCTGCCAGCCTCTGTCATTTCATCCCTTCTGTTCTCTGCTGGCCTCTGAGTGCGTAACTCCTGGGCCAGATGCATTCCAGTGCCCCCTCCAGCTCTAACAGCCTGTGGCTCCTCCCAGGGTCTCCCTCGCATCTACCTCCTGCCCTGTGGCCTCCATCACAAGGGCTTCCAGGGTCTTTCCCTCTCACTCCCTCCCCAGAGTCACTGAGGTGGTGAGCTGGGCAGGTGTGGAGATGAGTGAGACAAGGTGAGGGGTGGGGCCAGTGAGGAAGAGAGGACTTGCCGTTTCCCAACAGGAAAGTGGTTCAAGGAGATAAATGAGGCGGGAGGCTCTGCAGTCACAGGACATGAGCAGGGTTTGACACATGAGGAAACACATCAGTAAATCATCGAGAGGAAAAACCTACATCAGCAGCAATTTAGGAAATGCAAATTGGAATATCATTAAGGCCCCATTATGGCCCGCCCCAACATGAAAATAAGTAAATAAATAAAACAGGAAAGCTGCTGTTGGCAGGGCAGTTGCATATACGTTGCTGTGCTACCATAAACAGTTTAAATCTTTCTAGAATGTGATTTGGCATTGTGTTGCAAGAGGGTTTTTGTTTTGTTTTGTTTTGTTTTGTTTTTGAGATGGAGTCTCACTCTATTGCCCAGGCTGGAGTGCAGTGGTGCAATCTTGGCTCACTGCAACCTCTGCCTCCCGGGTTCAAGCAATTCTTCTGCCTCAGCCTCCCGAGTAACTGGGACTGTAGGCACGCACCACCACGCCCAGCTAATTTTTGTATTTTTAGTAGAGACGGGGTTTCACCATATTGGCCAGGCTGGTCTCAAACTCCTGACCTGGTGATCTGCCCGCCTCGGCCTCCCAAAGTGCTGGGATTACAGGTGTGAGCCACCGTGCCCGGCTGGGTTTTTTTTTTTGTTTTTTTTTTTTAATTTTTGCGGGTATATTGTAGGTGTATATATTTAGTGTTGCAAGAGTTTAAAACGCTGACCAGGTAATTACGGTTGGTGGACTATATCCCATAAAAATAATCTAAAATGTCACCACAAGGAAGTTTTTACAAAAGATGCTCCACAGCACCTGTATATAGAGCCCATTCAGATTATGGTACGGTAAGGAAGAGTAACAGAATGAAATATGAAAGGATGGACAGAGGGAAACTATCTGATGAAACCATTTGGTGAAGTCATGTTAAGTGACAAAATCAGCACCAAAAAATATGTCAGGTGAACTTATAAGCTGTGTTAAAACTGCAAAGGAATATTAGAAGCAATCAGAAGAGAATTCTAAATAGGTGTCATGTTTATTCTGTTAAGTTGATCAAGATGATTTATATAACAGTAACGACGGTGATGATGATGATGACGATGATGATGATGATGATGATGGTGATGATGACAATGATGATGTAAGGGCCACTGAACAGGATTTCCTCATCATAAACATACCAGAGGGCAGGTAGGCCCAGGCCCCTGGCTTGATGAGGAAAGAAGAAGGAATGTAAACCGGGAGAGGAGGGATTGTGACTGGGTGGGGATGGTGCGGGGGAGTGCCTACAGAGCATCCCTTATCTAGAGAGCTTTGAAACACCTCTCACCAAAGAAAGGAAATTACACAAATAAACCCACACCAATTAACCTCCAGCGTCCTGGGTACTAACTATGACTGCTGCATTTGGGCTCTCAATTTCACTAATACCTTATTTCAGCAACTTCTGAGGTGACACCAGGGCTCTTTGTGGGCTAGCCTAGGTACCCAACCACCATTTATAGCATTGTTTCTATGGAAATGTGTTTCAAGCTTCAAAAAACCGAGCTGCTGACAACCCTGGGGCACACACGTGGTCTCTAAATTAGGGAACTGAGAGGAACAGTTATTGCTGGGGCCTGGGCTCGAGAAGGCAGCTTGTTCCTTAGACACTATGGCACTTAATATTCACATGACCAGCAATGATCAGAACCAGGCTCAATGCCACTGTAGGGCGTGAAGATGAGGTTGGGGCATCTAGGAATAAACACGATATTCTAGAAAAGCACAGAGACAGTCACCAGCCCCACCTCCAAACACACACACACACAGCCATCACTTGCCATGGAACACATGAAGCTGGCCTGAGTACCCCTAATGAGCATCCAGGCGTGCCCTGAGCCCATACTCTCCATTTTCTCTCTGACCCTGGCACACCTCCAGCCACAAGGTCCTACTTCAATCTGATCACAGAAGAACAAACTCCAGTCTTTGACAGTTCTGAAATTTGGTTTTAGCAAATATACACTGGAGATAACCAGGGCCCCAGCTGGGTCTGGGCCTCCCTCCACACGCATTCTGTCGGGCAGAGCTTCAGCAGGCTCCAACCTGCGAACTCAAGGTACGCCGGGGGCTCTCCAGCTGCCACCCACCTGGGGACTCTGCACAACACCAAGGAGTCTCCCTGTCCTGCCCTGGTCACATTCCTGGGCTGGTCACAGCAACGGGATGATCATGGACCCTCCAAATAGACACTCCACGTGTTAAGAAAATAAGGCTCTCCACTCAGAAGAAAAGGCTACTACACACGAGGGGAGTGGTGGGTGAGAAGGCCATTCACCAGATGTCCAGAGATTCTGAGATGCCACAGAGATATGAGAAGGTGCTCAGAAGACAGTCAGCTGCTCAGCGCCACACCCAAACCTGCAGCTGCGCGTCCCAGCAGATCTCACGGCAAGACGTGGGGTCAGACGGCCCTGCCTGCTAGGTCAGATGTGAACTGGATGGATGTGGCTAGCATTAAAGAGCAACTAAATTCAACACTTCAATTAATATGTGCAACAATGTAAGTGAGCAAGACGCTACCTCACTAGGGCCCCACCTGGGTTAGAAAAGGCTGCAGGAGGTCAATTAGCAAAGCACACCCTCCCTGCTGCCAGTTGGAACTGCAGAAGAAAGACTCAGCTTCCTCCTGCTGTGGCAGGGGCCTGAAGTAAGAGGCAGCCCAGAGGTGAGTGGGCGGGTGGCTCAAAGCCTCACGTGCTCACTGGGCTGGTTCCATGAAAACGCAGGTGTGAAAATCGTCTGGGGCCCTGAGCCAGCTGGGGGCTGGAGGCAGAGTCCACGCTGTGAACCCGAGTTACTCAGCCAGTCTATGAAGTCAGGCCCATCTGAATCCTCCAGCCCCTGCATGCAGTGCCGGTAGCTGATAAAGACAGAGCTGTTTGGTTTTCCTGGTAGTAACAGATGGGAGTCCCTCCCCCTGGCCTCCTTCCCACCCAAATCCAAAGTCTTTGAAGTTAAGGCCTTGTCTTATAAATAAAAAAAAGATGTTATATAAATTATTAAAGCAATTTCAAACACACACACATGCTCTACCCATAACCTCTTTGCCCAAATCCAGTTATTGGCATTATGCCAATTTTTACTATGGGCAGTGTAATCAGTTTTTATGCACTTATGCAATTCTGTGTTTTACTTTTTTCATCTAAATTCATCAACATTTTCCCAAGAAACAACATTATCTTCATATTAAGATAACAGTGACACAATACTCACTGACTCTAGGTATCATGAATTATACAGCCACATGAAACACTGAGGCTGTTTACAGTTTTGGTTTTGTTTTTTTTTCTTTTCTATTTTAAGCAATGTTGCTATAAATATCTTTGGTGTGCAGGAAGGTATGAGATTAAAAAAATAATAAATAGATATCTTTGTACTTAGAGCTCTTTTCCTTTTTAGAATTAATAAATTCTTTATTCTTAAATTCTCAAGAGCAATACTAATAGATCAAAGGAAATTAACATTTTCTTACAGCTTCAAGTTCTAGTGTGTGTGTGTGTGTGTGTGTGTGTGTGTGTGTGTGTGTATTTTGTTGTTGTTGTTGTTTTCGAGACAGAGTCTCGCTCTGTCGCCCAGGCTGGAGTGCAGTGGTGCCATCTCGGCTCACTGCAACCTCCACCCCCCAGTTCAAGTGATTCTCCTGCCTCAGCCTCCCGAGTAGCTAGGGTTACAGGCGCGCACCACCACACCCAGCTAATTTTGTAATTTTAGTAGAGATGGGGTTTCTCCATGTTGGCCAGGCTGGTCTCAAACTCCTGACCTCAGATGATCCGCCCACCTCGGCCTCCCAAAGTGCTGGGATTACAGATGTAAGCCACCACGCCTGGCTTCTCATACATTTTTAATGTATATTTGTTCTTTGTGAGTTACCCGGATTATCTATTTTCCAAAGTAGTTTTCCTAGCAACACCTGTCAATCCTACCAATCAGGATCTACTCTTATAATGCACTTTTCCCAGCTCCTCAGCGTCCCTGCTATTCGGAATACGTACCCTATGACTGGTGGATGTTGGAGGTAATACAATTGATTTTCCAGGGAGAGATGACGAAGGAGGACAGAGAGGTGTGGGTAGGAAGGTAGAGGCTGGGATGAGTAAGGAGGGGAGAGCAGGCCTTGTGGAGTCAGAAACAAAGACAGATCCCACATTCTGTCCTTTCCAAAATGAGCCCACCCCTCCCTGGACATCAACCCACTCCCTCCACCACTCAGGTTTCTCCAAGCTGATCTTCCAGGGGCCCGGAACAAACACACACATTCATGGGTTCCTAAAGAGGATTCTGGAAATACCATGTGCTTCTAGGTTCTAGAAACATACTCTGCAAACAATATAAGCCCTGTGCTCACCAGTGGTCCCACAGGCCCATGTGCATGCAGGCTCAGCCCTAAGGGTGGCTCAACTTCAAGAAAGAAAAGTCTTTAAAGAAAGAGAGAGGCCAGGCGCAATGGCTCACGCCTGTAATCTCAGCACTTTGGGAGGCTGAGGCGGGTGGATCACTTGAGGTCACGAGTTCGAGACCAGCCTGGCCAATATGGTAAAACCCTGTCTCTACTGAAATACAAAAATGAGCTGGGCATGGTGGTGGGCGCCTGTAGTCCCAGCTACTTAGGAGGCTGAAGCAGGACAATCACTTGAACCTGGGAGGCAGAGGCTGCAGTGAGCTGATATCACACCACTGCACTCCAGCCTAGGTGACAGGGTGAGACTGAATCTCAAAAAAAAAAAAAAAAAGAAAAAAGAAAAGCAAGTCCAACTAATCAGCCATGGCGAGAAAGCCACTCCTCCACAGGTCTCTCTGAGTGGCACGCAGACCTGGGATAATGACAGGAAGCCTCTGAGTGACAACCCTGGGTCCCACTATGAGGCACCATAAAGACACCGCCTGCCAGGCTCCATTCACAGGAATTTTCGAACAGGAAAGGTACCCCTGTAGTCTAATCCCCTCATTTCATAGACAAACGGAGACTGCAATCCCTGCTTTGGGGCTCCCACTGCACCCTGCAATTACTGTCAGGAGGATGCATTCTTCCTCGCAGGAACAGGAAGTGCCACAGCCTGTCCTGACTGCCTCATGACCAGGTGGGACAGGACTTTCATTTTAAAGAGCCCCAGTCTCTGCTACTATGGTCTGCAGACTTGCTTTCCCCAGCTCTGTCTCTGTGTGAAGCCAAAAGACAGTGCTGAGCATGAGAAACGAAAGGATCCTCTAATGGCAGCTGGTATTAATATTTATCCTTCTTCAAGGAGGGCCAGTAGGAAGAGATGCTTCTGCCACCTCTAAACCAGCTCCTCACCACAGACATCTCCTCAGTGTCCCCTCAAAGGCTTCCTCAGGGTGAGTGGGGCCCCGATACAGGTTTTATACCCCCAAATCCCCTTCCTACTCTCACCAGGGTCTTGCTGACAGGCCCAAGCAAATAGCAGAGACACCAAGGTGGCAGCCCCACCAGCAAGCACTAAGGGAGGCTGGGGATGTCATGCAGACAGCCAGCTCACCAAGCACACAGTCCACCAGACATAGGCCAGGTCCTGGGCCTGCCCGATGCTCCCTCACAGCCCCTCAGGTGGCCCTTCTCGTTCCTGTCACAGAGCACCTACTGTGTGCCAGCCACAGATCCAAGGTGGTGGGGAGCCAGGCACTCCTGCAACTGACCCCAGCATCCTGCAGGGGGGAAGTTCAATTGCAGAAATGCCATGGTGGCAACTCAGGAAGGCAGCATGGAGCAGGTGACTCCTGGCTGGCCCTGTGGGCATCTGCCAGGAGGAAAAGGCCAGAGAGGGCATTCCAGATGGAAGAGACAACAATAAGCAAAGGCCAAGAGCATATAACAAGGCGAGAGAAGTGCGTCCAGGAGCAGCAAGAGGCCGGCTGGAACAAAAAGGGCCATGCTAGGGAAGGGGTAGTGGTAAGAAAAAGGCCAGAAAGGTGGGCCAGGGCTCAAACAAGAGTACATGTGCCATTCTGAGGAGTGTGGAGCTCCTTCTGCAGAACTTGGGCAGTTCTCAAAGATTAAGAGGGGGTGATATGACCAAAGCTGTGTTTTAGTAAAATAATTCAGGTTCTTCAAGACTTCTTTTCCACTTTAATGCTGCTTTTAGCACAATTTCATTTCATCTGGACAAAAGTAGGCAAGTTCAGTGTAAACTAGGCCAGAACCAACACTGGCCAGGAACTAGGAAGGCCCCTGCTCCCTCCCTCGGGGAGCCAACCAGGCCATGCATCTAAGCGATCCAAGCCTCAGGATCAGGAATCGCTTCCAGTCCAGAGCCCAGCTCATGACACTCCCAGCTTCCTGGGGGCAGCAGCTTCCCGCTTTCCCAGGGAAGTCTTGGAACACTGGCATAAAACAGCCAGTAAGTTCAAAACTGCATTTTTCCTTTTAAGGAAAATTAATTCCTTTGTCTAAGATTAATGGAACTGAATGACCAAGATTCCAGTCAAGGTGCCCTTGCTTCAAAGAGTTATACCCAGAAGATCTGAGGGCAAGACGGGAGCTGGAGCTCACCTTATCTGACACCTCTTGTTTTTTCTGGATGAGGAAACTGGGCAGGATGTGACAGGTGATGCTGACAGCCCCAGGCAAACAAAGCTGTAGCTCCTTTAGCGCTCTCAGAAAGGAGATAGGGTAGAACATCTCAACCAGGGTGACATCTTTAGAACTGGAGAGATCACCTGGGCAGCTTAGACACCAGGCGCCTCAACTGTTCCACAAACCAAGCCTGAAACCAGAACTCCAACTTCTAGTCTGAAAAGCAAAGTGGCACCTCGCAAACACCCTGTGGCCCCAAGAGTCTCACCCAACCTTGGGGAAGAAGCAGAATTCAAGCTGTAACTGCCTGTTGGAGAGAGCCAACCCTCGGCCTCTGTCCTCGAAAGGCAGCACCAAAGTTTTCCAAGTGGAATCAAATGTGCAGGGAGGATCCAGATGCCGGGATGATCTCCCTTTTCCACTGGGATGGTCAGATTCCAGAGGAGAATTCCAATTACTAATGAAACACTCAGATCTTCTGGGCACATAACATTCCTAAAGCTCAGCGGGAGGCTAAGGATTCAGAAGGATGTCCAAACAGATTAAGCTCAAGATGTGGATGTTGGCCAGGTATGGTGGCTCATGCCTGTCATCCCAACATTTTGGGAGGCCAGGGTGGGAGGCTGGCTTAAGCCCGGGAATTCAAGACCAGCCTGGGCAACATGGCAAAACCCCATCTCTGTTTAAATTACAAAAAAAAAAAAAAAAAAGATGTGGATGTTTTCAGTGGCCCAAGAGGGATGCCCTGTCTCCTCTTCCCACATCCAGAACAGCCCCATCATCCCAGTTTGAAGGCTAGAATGGGCTCCAAGCTCTATGAGAGACACCTGTCCACCTGGCATATGCAGCCCTCCCCTGGTTTCAGGCACCTGTGGTTGTGAGTCCTGAGAGGAGGCAGAGTTCCACTCTGCTGGGGAGGCTGCAGCCTCCAGAGCCTTGCTCTTCAGAACCGTAACATCAGCCTCAGGCTCACGCCTGTAACCCCTGCACTTTGGGAGGCCGAGGCGGGTGGATCACAAGGTCAGGAGTTCAAGACCAGCCTGGCCAAGACGGTGAAACCCCATCTCTACTAAAAACACAAACATTAGCCTGGCGTGGTGGCGGGTGCCTGTAGTCCCAGCTACTCGGGACGCTGAGGCACAGAATAGTTTGAACCCGGGAGGCGGAGGTTGCAGTGAGCCGAGATCACGCCACTGCACTCCAGCCTGGGCAACAGAGCAAGACTGTCTCAAAAAAAATAAATAAATAAATAAATAAAAGTTCAGAACCATAACAGCAAGAACATGACCTAAGCAGGGCCAACCACATGCGCAGCCTAGCCTTTGCCTCTGGAGCGAGTGGCACAAAAAAGTGGGGAGAGTTCAGTACCCATTCTGGAAGGGGTGGCAGCATCCAGGTCTGCTGGCAGCAGTGATGCCAGGTCAGCAGCATCGTCACCATGGCTTTGGTTCCAGCCACCCAACTTTCCACAAGTCCTGATCAATTTCTGAGCCTCATTCTCCAACCTTCTCGGACATTCAGTGAGCCACCAGATAGCCTTCCAATACATTTCTTTTCTCCTCAATTTAGCTACAGTTAGCTTCTGCTGTGGGCCAACCTAAGACCTGAGCTATGCCAGCATCTCCTTCTACCTGCACACGGGCTCCTCTGGCCCATGGCCCGGCCCTGCCTGCCCCTTTCTGCACCCCTCTCAGCCGTGCTCCACTGCCCCACCACTTGCAGTCCCCAGAGCAAATGGTGTCATGTTGTGCCTCCAGGCCTTGTCTGAGCTGCTCCCTGTACCTAGAATGCCCTGACTCCTTTTGCCACCTGGTGGATGCCTACTCGTTTCTCAGCACTCAGCTCAAACAGCTTCTCCAGGACGCCTCTCATTCGTTAATTCCACAGCACTCACCAGGCACAAGTACTGTGCAAGGCACTGGGGTTTTCCTAAACCTTTCCTGACATGCCTCTCTCTCCTGGCCGTGGTAGAAGTGGCCAGTCCTCTCCTCTGAGCGCAGGAGCCCCCTGAACACCTTGACATTGATACCTGCAGAGCTTAACTGCTCTTGACTTTTGTAGATGTTTGTCTCCCTCACAGACCATGAGCACCTTAAAGTGGGGACCTGAAGCTTCTTTATCTTTGTATCCCCAGTACCAAGCACAGAGCCAAGTACACAGTAAGGGCTCAATAAATGCATGAGTGAGTGAAAGAATGAAGAACCTGACAGAACGCACCTTATAAACCATGATAGGGGCCAGGCGTGGTGGCTCACACCTGTAATCCCAGCACTTTGGGAGGCCGAGGCAGGTGGATCACCTGAGGTCAGGAGTTCAGGAGCAGCCTGGCCAACATAGTGCAACCCCGTTTCTACTAAAAATACAAAAATTAGCCGGGTGCGGCAGCACACACCTGTAATCCCAGCTACTCTGGAGGCTGAGGCAGGAGAACAGGAGAATCACTTGAACCTGGGAGGCGGAGGTTGCAGTGAGCTGAGATTGCGCCACTGCACTCCAGCCTGGGCGACAGAGCGAGACTCTGTCTCAAAAAAAAAAAAAACGTGATGGGGAAGGTCACGACTGTTGTGGTTACAGCTACTTTTCTTTTCCTCCATAACTGGAGAAGTCAGATCCTAAATGCCACGTGTCAGCACAGCCTCCTTGGAGAGATGGTAGAAGAAATCTTGTTGAGCCTTTCCACCACCTCTAGTGCAAGTGGAAGAGGGGGTCACCGAGTGGCTATTGGCTTCTAAGTTGTTCCAGAGCATGTGCTATGGGGAGGCCACAGAGGAAGCAGACACATCTTGCTGGTCGATTCCTTGCAAGCTTCTTATAGTGGCCTGCAATGGGGAGGCTGAGGAGGGGACATGGAGGGCTAGGCCCTTACTGTAAAGTGTCTGCTGCACATGGGCACTGCCCTCTCCCAGCCCCACACCAGGGCTGGGTCAACCCAAGCACAAGTTTTTCATCTGCAATCCTGGATGATATAACTGCAGTTTAAAACCTACTCCATGGATCTCCTCTCCATCGCACTCTGCCCATTTAGTCTAAGAGCCTTTCATGCTTAATCTCATATGATGATTTCCTAACTTACAGCACCCATGACCTTCTCATGAGACACAGGACAATGGAATCTGTTCACATGTTCATTTAACTTATGCAAATTCAAATGGTCAAGCTTAGCAGAAGACAGAAGACAAAGGAAGACAGGAGGAAGGAGGAAGTTAGGGAGGTAGGAGGAAAAGGAAAACAAACAAACAAAAAAACAAAATAGAACAAGAAGAAATAGCCGGGCATGGTTGGCGCATGCCTGTAATCCCAGCTCTTTGGGAGGCTGAGGCAGGTGGAGTACTTGAGGTTAGGAGTTCGAGACCAGCCTGGCCAACATGGTGAAACCCTGTGTCTACTAAAAATAAAACAATTAAAAAATTAGCCGGGTGTGGTGGCGGGTGCCTGTAGTCCCAGCTACTCAGGAGGGTGAGGGAGGAGAATCACTTGAACCCGGGAGACGGAGGTTGCAGTGAGCCTAGATTGCACCACTGCACTCCAGCCTGGACGACAGAGCACGATTCCATCTCAAAAAAAAAAAAAAAAAAGTGCAACTTCTTCCAGAACTAAAGGAGCAGGCTAAGGTGAATTGACGCATCAAGAGCCAGTGTGTCTGTTGCCTACCTGGTGCCCTCCTAATATATAATCAAGGTTAATCTTGATTACATTCTTTTATTTTTTTTTAATTTGTTTATTATTATTATTATTATTTTTTTTTTTTTTTGAGACGGAGTCTCGCTCTGTCGCCCAGGCTGGACTGCGGACTGCAGTGGCGCAATCTCGGCTCACTGCAAGCTCCGCTTCCCGGGTTCACGCCATTCTCCTGCCTCAGCCTCCCGAGTAGCTGGGACTACAGGCGCCCGCCACCGCGCCCGGCTAATTTTTTGTATTTTTAGTAGAGACGGGGTTTCACCTTGTTAGCCAGGATGGTCTCGATCTCCTGACCTCATGATCCACCCGCCTCGGCCTTCCAAAGTGCTGGGATTACAGGCGTGAGCCACCGCGCCCGGCCTATTATTTTTTTTTGAGACAGAGTCTTGCTCTGTTGCCCAGGCTGGAGTGCAGTGGCACCATCTCAGCTCACTGCAAGCTCCTCCTCCCGGGTTCACACCATTCTCCCGACTCAGCCTCCCGAGTAGCTGGGACTACAGGTGCCTGCCACCACGCCCAGCTAATTTTTTTGTATTTTTTAGTAGAGATGGGGTTTCACCGTGTTAGCCAGGATGGTCTCCATCTCCCGACCTCATGATCCACCAGCCTCGGCCTCCCAAAGTGCTGCGATTACAGGCGTGAGCCACCGCGCCCGGCCGATTATATTTTTATATTTCATATTACACACTGACTTTAGAATCTGAACCTCAGAAAACGCCACTCCATCAAATTATACTCTCCCAGTGACAGATCCACTCTCAGTTCTTCCCCCATCCCACCCTCTTCCACTTGCTCTAGAGGTGATGGAAAGGGTCAGGATTTCTTCCACCATCTCTCCATGGAAGCTGTGCTGACCACAAGCATTTAGGATCTGACTTCCCCAGTTATGGAGAAAAAGAAAAGTGGCCATAGCCGTAACAGTAGTGACCTTCCCCGTCATGGTTTATAAGGGACTATTCCTCGGGTTCTTCATTCTTTCACTCACTCATGCATGGGTATGACCTATCTCAGGAGCTAGGCTTGAAGCCTCCTGGGGGTAAGGAGCATGTGGCACTCTGCTTTCCACACTCACATGGTTGACAGCACTGCAGCTGTTCCACAAATGGCCGGTGAGGACAGTTGGCCCTGCATTAACTGGCTGTTCAAAGAGTGCCATGCCTGTGTTCCTGGGCCTTCTCCTGCCTGTGTCTTGGGAACTGGGAGCATTCCTCTGTCTTCTTGGTGTTGTTTAACCCATGTTCTGCACTTAGAAAACAGTAAGTAATCTTGTTGGCCAACTGAGCCTGGGTAGGAAACTTTGGGGGCTTTGATAGCAATTAAGATCCACTAAGACTACAATGAGATAATACAATGGTAAAAGCTATTAAATACGCATCCCACTCTCTTCTTAAAGACCTCTTCTTCACCCCTAGTTTTTTTTGTTTTTTTGTTGTTGTTGTTGTTGTTAAGTTTCACCTTTTTAAATCTTTGAGTACTGCCTTAGGGAAACTGAGAAGATGGAGTCCTTGGTTTACAAATAGACCTGCTGAAACTGACGATTATGATGACTAATTATCAATGCAGGATGGCCAGTGGAAATGGAGAATGGGGTTTGTGCCTGACTCTTCCATTCAACAGCTGTGGGAACTTGGAGAAGGAACTTATCCTCTCTAAGCCTCAGTTAAAATGAGAGTTAGCACAGGTTTCCTTCCAAGCTTTAAATCCTTAACCATGGGATTATCGGAGATGCTGTTACTACAGTTACTATAAAACTGGGGCTGGATGATAACAGTCCGTAAGATCCTATCCAATTCTAAAAGTTGATTATTTTGTAAAATAGCACATCTGAAAAAATGTTGATTTATTAAACTCAGTTTATACATAACTTTTCAGAAATATGTAAATCCCAGTTTCACCCTTTTATGTTTATTAAGAACTTTCAATTAAAACTGACTTCAGGCCAGCCGCGGTGGCTCATGCCTGTAATCCCAGCACTTTGGGAGGCGGAGGAGGGCAGATCACCTGAAGTTGGGAGTTCGAGACCAGCCTGACCAACATGGAGAAACCCTGTCTCTACTAAAAATACAAAATTAGCCAGGTGTGGTGGCGCATGCCTGTAATCCCAGCTACTCGGGAGGCCGAGGTAGTAGAATCACTTGAACCCGGCAGGCAGAGATTATGGTGAGCCAAGATCGTGCCATTGCACTCCAGCCTGGGCAACAAGAGCGAAACTCTGTCTCAAAAAAAAAAAAAAAAAAAAAACTGACTTCAGGCCAGACACGGTGGCGCACGCCTGTAATCTCAACACTTTTTGAGGTTAGGGAGGCCAAGGCGGGTGGATCACCCGAAGTCAAGGGTTCAAGACCAGCCTGGCCAACATGGGGAAACCTTGTCTTTACTAAAAACACAAAAATTAGACGGGCGTGGTGGCAGACATCCATAATCCCAGCTACTCAGGAAGCTGAGGCAGGAGAATCGCTTGAACCTGGGGTGCGGAGGTTGCAGTGAGCCAAGATCACACCACTTCACTCCAGCCTGGGTAGAGTAAAAAACAGGAATCTACCAGATTCTATTTTTAAATAAAACAAAACGTTAAAAGAATCTAGCTTATACGTGCATTTTATAGTATGTGAATTATTTTTCAAAAAAGAAAGAATCTGGCTTATGAGGCAAGGTTGTGATTAACAGCATGAGGACTGGCTAAAGGCAACACAGTCCTCCTAGCCAAGTCCAATGCTAGGGTTCAGCCAGGATCTCCCCAAAACTCAGTTTTATAGTTTAGCCTGGTTTTGTAAGTTCAACACCTATTTGGGCAAAACAAGCATGCGGCCAACCAGGAAGCCTCACTTTGCCCTCCTCACAGTCTATATATATATATAGATATATGAAGAGAGAGAGAGAATCTCTGTCACCCAAGCTGGAGTGCAGTGGCATGCAATCCTCCTACCTCAGCCTCCCAAGTAACTGGGACTACAGGCACGTGCCACCGTGCCTGACTAATTTTTTGCATTTTTTTACAGAGAAGGGGTCTTGCCACATTGCCTAGGCTGGTCTTGAACTTCTAGGCTCAAGTGATCCTTCCGCCTCAGCCTCCCAAAGTGCTGGGATTATTGGCATAAGCCACCGCACCTGGCTGTCTTCACAAGTCTTGCCTGCAAGTTGGTCCTACCTCCTTCTATCAGATTGGTTCCTCAGAAGGTCAGGCCAACCCAAGTAACAAACTATCTCACCTCAGAGCCAGAGCAGAGGTGTAGGGCATCACAGGGCAGGCTGACTGGGACAAAAGGAGCCAGGGCCAAAGCTGGGAAGATACTGACAGTCAGGAAAGAGATGCTGGAAATGGAGCAAAACAATGAGGTGCAAAGCCAGGAGGAGCCTGAGGGCAGCTAACAGGCAGAGGAGGCAGGCTTGGCTTAATGCTCAGAATTGAGACCAGGAACCACGGCCTTTGGTGCTTGGCTTGGGTGTCCAAGTGGACGAAATCTGATGGCCACTGCTCTTTGTATCAGCATCACAAAACATTTATTGAGACTTGCTATGAGTGGGGCACCAGACCTGGGGATACAAAGATATATAAAACAGGGCTTCCAGTTTAGTTGAAGAATTGTAGTATTTATTCACCCAAAGGCTCATTTAATTTGCTGAACAGGGGATATGATCAAAGTCATGGCCCAAAAGAGAAAGTGAAAATTCTTAGACCAGGACTCAAGGTTTTCCTCAGCACAGGGCCCAGGGTGATGTTGCTGGAGTCCCGGGGGAGGCCCACAGGGTGGGACAGGGAGAAATTCTCAAGGAGGAGGACACAAACAGGACTGGAAGGGGAGCAGGACTGAGCCAAGCGGATGAGAGGAAAGAGGCATTCCAGTCCTCTGGGGAAGCATGGGAGGTAGGAATTCTTGCCATCAGTGGTTTGGACAAACACACAGAGTGGGTCACCGGGTCAGAGCCGAGGGTTAGGACGGGAGAGGAGCAAAGGTCAGACCCCTGTGGAGAAGGGCCCTAACTGCCGGCCTAGAAGTTTGATCCTTACCATGCAGACAGTGGGGAGCCATTGAAGGTTGCTGAGCAGGAAGGTGACCCTTGCAAAGAGGCATTTTAAGTGAGATTACAGAGCAGGCCTTTATCCGAAGCTTATTCAAAGCCCTGTGTGTATTTCAAGTGGCACTTGAGACAGAAAGTCGTAAAGCGTTTGCCCTGTGTCATGCAGACGAGAAAGAAGAAGGTTTAAGGGGCTCACAAAGAGATGCTTCAGTGAGAACAAGAAATGAAGAGGGGCACATTTTAAAGAAGGAAACAAATCTGCAGGACAGAACTGCCAGCCGTGGTGTCTGGAAAACTGTAGCGTGTTCTTAAGCGACTAGAATGCCCTCTTTAGCTGGGGGTGTTCGGCCTCCTTTTTTGGAGGTGGGTTGTGATGTCAAAACACTGGGTTGTGGTATAGGAAGTGGGGCAGCTAGGAAGGGGCAGATTAATGGAAATAGCAATACTGGGCCTGGGCAGCCTCCCTTTGAAGACCACCCTCTCCAGGAGACTCCTGCATTGGCTTCTCTCAGTGGCACCTCGGGGTTTCCGCCAGAGTTGCTGGGTTGCCTAATTACCTCCAATATTTTTTCCTCTTAGAACAATAAAACTGGTTTTAAAATCTCTTGTCAAGTTTTGAATCAGCGCTTTTTCACTGTTGTTCCTAATTGTGCATGGCGAGGCAGCAGCCAGGGCTGCTCAGGAGCCGTGAACTAGGCAGCAACTTCAAGTTAAAACCACCATTTAGGTAAGGTGAAGGAGGAAGTCAGGGTTATGATTCTGTCTCTGTGTAACAACTTCGGGGCAAGCTCCCTGAATGCAGAGGCAAAGCTGAGCAAGCCAGGGAAAGGGCCTGAGTTATGCACAAAAATCTGCCATTGGGAACTGAAGGTGAGGGGCCTGCATGTGGCTCCCGCAGCTCCCTGGAGCCTGGCTTCCTTCTTTCTCTGGCCTTTACAAGAGGCCCCTCCCCTCCACTCTCCCAGCTACACTCTGGAGGGCTTTTGGGGCACTTTTAGTCTCTGTAAATTCTACACGAACACAAAGCACTGCAAACTCAAAGCTTTGGGATCAGAAGGGAACGATCCCTTCTCCTGCCCCTCAAGACTACAGCCAGGCACCAGCAGGCCTTCATTATGGCAGTCCTGGTCAGGTGATCCAGCTAACCAGGACCTTCACAGTCAAGATCAGTAAAAACCAAATGTCTCTAGAAAAGAGGGTTGTGCAACCTGTGGTGACTCCTACCATAGTGCTGCTTTTGCTCAAACCTCATTCCCCTGTGGCAACTGTAACCATACATGCCAGACTTTCCAGAACTGTCCTGATTTTACATGTTTGTCCTCGAGTTTCTGGAAGCACACAGGTACCTGCCAGGGACTGTGCCCTAATCTTTTGGTTTGACAAACGGTCACTGTGCCCATGACACACACCTGGCACAAGGCTGCAAAACAGCATTTTTCCTCCAGGTGAAGCTCAGATACTTGGCTGGAAAGGCCAGGCATTGGAGAAACTCCAGTGCACTGGAATCATCAGTACCTGCCACTCTGAGCAGAGAGGCTGCCCATGCCCAGCATAAGGTGGTACCACCTAGCCACACAGCAACGTAGCTGGGCTGAGTGCTCCCCATGAGCGTCTTCTGCCTAGGACAGGGAGTTATCAGGTTGAGATTTAGAATGTGAAAACGATGGCCCTGCACAAATCCAATACACGCCTTTTTTACTGTGTTTTAAATCTCTCTATACAATTATACCCCTGTAAGGCCCTCAACAAGACACTGTTTGCCTTCTTTCCATACTTGCAGGCTTGGCTCCCTTCCTGCAAGGCAGCATGGCAAATGGGAGGATCCCTGCTCTGGTCTGTGCCACAGTCCCTGCTAAGAAAGTGGGCCTAGGGTTCCTATGGAGAAGGAGGAGTCACTCCTCTGCCCCTCCCAGACCCAGACCACCAGCACAGACAAAAGTGCTACCACTTGCACGTTTCCTCTTTGCCCAGCACAATAAAGGAATTAGGACCTACCACCTACTAAGTTTCTGCAGCTGACACTTCCAGGCTTAAAGTCTAGCACGCCAGCTCAGTCACACATGGTCTGACGAGTCCTCTTTGCAACTCAGCCCCAACCCAGCCACCCGTGCAATTTTGCTAATTCAAACAGCTTTCCCGTTTAGAGAGGTTGATAGCCATCTCCCATCTCCTTTTCCTACTGACGTCATCCCACATTTTCTCCGGAGACAAATAAGGGTAGAGTTCCTGGGATAGTTTTCAGGCTGCCTAAGATAGGAGTGCAGTGGCCTCCCGAGTCCACCCCACATCTCAGGCTTTGGACAAGTCGTCAAAAGTGAGAGGGAGGTAATGAAATAAATCACCTAGCTAGGGTTAAAGGGCAAAAAGAATTTGGAGACTGCAGCTCAGACCCAGATCTATCCTGGGCATTTGCAGTGCAAAGCTGCGTTTTCTTCGCCACTACCGAGGTCTTGCACAATAGCCTGTGTATAAACATCCACGCCAACAATGCCTGACTGTGCAATCACGCTGTAATTACAGGCCGGCAGGAAGCTGCTGCTAGGAACTGCACCATTCAACCTCTAGGACACCCCATCTCGAGTCTCCACGGCTCGGACGCACTTTCCTGCACACACCAACGTGTCCCCGCCGCCGCCGCTACAGTTGCAGTCTCGCCACTGGCCCGGGCCGCCAGCCCCTAGTTACTCTGCAGGAATGTCCCAAACTTCTCAGCTGTTCTTTAAAAAACCCTGCGCCACGAGGCTACCGAGGGCGACGGGAACCACCGTCAAAGTTCCTGCAGCACATTCCTGCAGCCCTTGCAGTTTTAGGAAACAGAAAAGAACGAGATGCCACAGAGTCCGCTGGAAGCGGGTTTCTGAGTTTTATATAGAAAACACTCACATATGTACGTGGGTGTGCTGACAGTTTTTATGGCTAAATTGCAAAGTGTTAGGCCTTAGCGATCACTGTCAGGTTTGGGACATGGTTGGGAAGGGTAAAGGGGGAGTCAGGAGCGATTCATTTCAAGGGGGCTTGGGGACAATTCCGGTTTGGTTTTCTGAAAATGCGTAGGGTTGTTTTCCCAAACTTCCGAGCTACTCTGCTCTTCGTCCCAGGAAGGCCAAGCAAATAAAAGTCCGGGGAAAGTTCCTTTAACTTCCTTCCTGCGCCCTCGACAAGGGCTGCGAAGAGGAAGAGGTCATTTCCCAGGGAAGCACCGGGCAGGGGCCGAGAGCTGCGCCCAGCCTGCAGGGATGGAGGCGCTGGGCGGAGGGCTGGCTGCAGACGTAGGCCCCGGAAAGCCCCTTCCCCCCACCCTACCTCAGGCCAACGGCGCCTGGAGCTGGCCCCGCTGCAGCCCTTGCTGTTTGAAGTCCCGCGGCAAAGCGGCGACAACACCGGCGCAGCCCGGCGCCCCGACCCCGGCCGCCGAGCTCCCTCCCTGCAGCACCCCGGCACCCCAGCGCCCGGCCCAACCCGGCCCGCCACATCCGCGCCCGCGCGGCCCAGCCCGAGCCCCGGAACGATTCCGAGCCCCACGCCGGCGCCCGGTGGCGGGAGGGGGCGCCGAGCCCGCGGCTTACCTGCGTGCTGGATCCCCGGGCTGCTCGGAGGGGTGCGGGGCGCAGGCGAGTGCGGCCCGCAGACTCTAACTTTGTTGCTCTCGGGACGGCGCAGTCGTCACTTCCTCGCGGAGCGGGCGGTGCGGCCCGGGCTGTGCGGCCCGGGCTGTGACCCAGCGGCTCGCGCGGTGGCGCGCAGGGCCCTGCAGCCAGCCGCCCCGCCCGCGCCCCCGGCTCCGCGCGCCCCTGGCCCCAGGCGCCGTCTCCCCACTCTGCGCGCCCTCGGCTGCGGGGTAGCGGGCAGCCCTGCGCTGCCGGCCGCCTAGCCTGCACCCCCCGCCCTGGGAGGGAAGCCTCGCTCCAGCCGCGTCGTTTCCGCGCCGAAGTGCGATCCGGGGCCCCGCGCTGGAGTCCCCTGCTCTCAGGCTGGTCTGGAAGGTGGTGGTGGGGTTCAGGGTCCCCGGAAAGCTGGGGTTCCAGGGTAAACACCAGTACACAAACAAAGCGGTGGGGGAGGGGAAAGAAAAAGTTTTTCCGTTTGGTGTTGGGGCTAAAAGGGTCATGTCAGAAAGCAGTGTGCTCTATGTGTTCTTAATGCCTAAAGTGGGCCTTAAAACAAGGGTCCCTGTCCCCACGTTCTCTCTAAAAGTCTGCATGATGTCCCTCGTCATTTCTACGGGTTATAAGTGAGCAAGACGTTTACCACGTATCACACTTCTGGGGGCTATTTCAACGCCCAAGCTGGGGCTGCAGAATGGTTTCTGTTCTAATCCTCCCCCGCGATTTCCACCTCTTTACACTCAACTCACAGAAAATAGAGTCTGATGCATTCTGTGTTTCATCACCGGTCAAAAGTGACTTTGAGGGTAGGGTGGAGGCCTGAGAAGGGCAGCTTCAGGCAATAGTAATCCTGAAATTTATCATTGCTCAAAATAAATGTGCTCACCTTATTAAAAAGTACAACGGAAAGCCACCTTTAAGATAAGTAGCAACCAAGTCGTTAAACAGCAGTCTTCAAGGAAGAACTCCTGATCTCATAAGGCTGGAGAAAAAACGGGGTTAGCCTTTGCTGGTGAAAAAAAAAAAAAAAGACATTCGAAACTGCAGTGAAGGGCTTTCATAACAGAAACATTAGCTTCATTGTAGCTTGTCGTGGAAAACAGGGACCTTTTAATAGGTGGTTCAAAAGCATCAGTTAGGGCTCAACAATTTTCCTTTTTTCCCCAAATACTGCTTCTCCTAGCACATTGGCCAGATAAAACCTCCCCCCTTTCAATGCTTCATCTTTTTATGAAAACACAGGAAACCATAAACTTGAGTGAAGGCTTTGTTCAGAAAGGTGGATGTAAGACTGATGGAAAATGACATTTGGGAAATGATCCCCAGGTCTGTGTTAATCTCTCATGGAAAGCCACAGACTCACCCAAAGATAGGCGTATGAAGATCGAAGCTCTCCTAGCAACATGAAATCCTCCACGTTGCAGCTGCTACGCCCTAGTTCTGATTTTTACTAAGACATTAATGGCACATTATAAATACAAAATGTGCAATGCAAGAAAAATAATACTGCTTTGAGAAATAACTGCATCATTAGACTCAATAATTAAAGTTCCCTGAAATTCTTCTTACATCACGCTATTGTGGGGAGATGGTGAAGGGATTGCCCATTTCAATTTTGGAATAAATAGAAGTAATTCCTTAGTGCATTCTGCTTAAGGCAACCAATGAGAGAATATGTTAGCCAGGCTTCTAAAGGCAATCATGTGATACTCCATATTTGCTAAAACAAGAGCTGAATATTTTTTTTGTTCCATATGCAATTCCAAATTTTCAGTCACAATTTCATGAATATTCAGTATTTCTGCATGCCCAGGAGTAATTAGCAGACAGTGTAAATGTGTGAAGGCCTGACACTTACACATACATTGCTTTTTTCTCTATGTAAGGTGGCAGTTGCTGGAGTACCAGGGCACCAAGTGGAGGATGTGGTAGACAGCCTCTAAGATGCGCCCCCTGCCAATGATCTCTGCCTCCAGGTATTCATACCCTTGTATAATCCTCCCTCCTTAAGTGTAAGCTGAATCCATTGACTGAGTTCTGACAAATAGAATATGGCCAGTGATGTGATCTTACTTCTGAGACTAGGTTATAAAAAAAAAAAATGCGGCTTCCATACTGGGTCCTCTCTATGCCTTTCACTCTCTGGGAACACTCACTGTGGGGGAAGCCAACTGCCACGTCCTAAGGCAGCCTGGTAGAAAGGGAGCTAGGCCTGCCAACCACCGTTTGAGGGAGCTTGGAAAGGGATGCCTCTCCTTCCCCCCATGTTAATCAAGACTTCAGATAAGACCTTCAACCCCAGCCAACAGCTGAAGGGCCTCCCTCGGGCCCTTCAGGCAGAGGCACCCAGCTAAGCTGCCTGGATTCCTGACCCACAGAAACTATAAGATAATAAATGTTGTCTTAAGCTGCTGTGTTTTGAGGAATTCATTACATGGCCACAAATAACAGAGACCAGTAGAGAATCATTGGGGACCCAGTGACAACCCTGCACAGCCTTCCTGATAGAACATGGAAAGGAAAGCAGGGGCCAGAGCCAGATCTAAGCATAACACAAACCCCAAGAACAGAAGGCCGAGCTCTCAGTCCTTTTGCAGAGCGAGGGTCATTCTTGAATTTAAACTAGGTCGGGGGTGTGGACTCCTGCTTGGTCCCAGGCAGCCCTGGTATTGGGTGTCACCTACCTGACAGCACATACAGATGTCTTTGTGTCACCAGAATTGACATCTGTCCAGGCATCCTCTTCCTCCTCCTCCAGGCATTTACCCTGATCCCTGAGGGCTTGGCCCAAACAGTGGCTGTGGAGTCAGGGCTTTGTCCTAGAAGGAGAGTTGGCAAGAAGGGCCTTCAACCCTGGCAGCCAGAAGGGGTAGGCGATTTTGGTTGGGGTGGAGGGTCAAAAAACTAGGAAGAAAGGCTTGTGGTCCTGCTGTTGAAGAGCAAGTCGTGGACTATCTCTGATAAGGATTACCTCCACACTGCTGCCAGGGCGAGGGAGAACATTCTGTCCACGTGATGGTGTCTTTCTCTCAGCATCATTTCCTCTCTGGCTGGAACAAATTATTTACTTTTAAAATATAAAACAAAGTTTCAGGAAGCAGGAGAGATGTCATACTCCATCCCTGACCAGGGCAGGAATCTACTTGTGATTGCCCCCACGGCTCCCTCCCTTCAGTCAATCCAGTACAAGCCAGCAATTGTAGAGGCCGTTTCTGTTTTCCCTCCAGAGACACTAGGCTCTGATTTTTCTCATGTGCAGTGGCCGCAGCTGCTGTGTTGCCATGCCGTCATCCGGTTGCTATGACTTGTGAGGTTGTGGATGTGCCAGAACGTGAATCTATTAATTTAACAGGAACTAGGCTCAGCACATATATTCCTTGTTAGGTCATTTGCTTTGCTACCTAAACCACATCCAATGTGTTCAGCAATGGGCATGTTTCCTAGAGTCTGGCTTTGCAAGAATGCCAAATGCCCCAAATTTTGAGTCTGCACAGTCAGTTTTATATAATTAATTTACTGCGAAGGACAGAAAGGCATTCTAGCATGGGGATGCAAGCACATCGTTTCAGGGAAAAAAACCAAGGAGGGGGAAATGGTTAAAGTCGCTGGTCCTAATTCTTTATGCATTTAAGTCTTCTCTGCAGGAGGTGTATATACTCCTCCCTGAGCCCAGGTTGCTCACCACCAAGGTCTGAGCTCTCCAACACCACGCTAGGCATCGTGTGCCACCATAGAGGGAAATACCATCCTTTTCTTTTGTGTTGAGCACACAGACAAGCATTGTCTTATTTTTTTATTTTTTTTATTTTTTTTTGAGATGGAGTCTCTGTCGCCCAGGCTGGAGTGCAATGGCATGATCTCAGCTCACTGGAACATCTGCCTCCTGAGTTCAAGCAATTCTCCTTCCTCAGCCTGGGAAGTATCTGGGTACTTCCCAGTAACTGGGATTGCAGGTGCCCACCACTACGCCCAGCTAATTTTTGTATTTTTAGTAGAGACGGGGTTTCACCATGTTGGTCAGGCTGGTCTTGAACCCCTGACCTCAGGTGATCTGCCCACCTCAGCCTCCCAAAGTGCTGGGATTACAGGCGTGACCACTGCGCCCGGCCCAGACAGGCGTTTTCCACTCACTCCTTCAGTTAATGCTCACTGGGTGTCTATTACTGTGTATGCTAGGGATGCAGAGATGAAAAGGACAAAGTCCCTAGTGGGAGAGAATGACATACATTGCAATGCAGTATGAGAAGTATTTGAGTTGAGCTTTGCAGAGAGCACTATGAGATCTCAGAGAAGGGGGAAAGTAAGTCTGAGGAGAGGGGTTATGGGTCACCACCAGGGTGTTTCTTTTTACAAAAAGAGAATATATTAAAAATTAACTGGATGTATTGCATCAAGTAATAATAAGTATTGTTTTGTGTAGCATTTGTTTCAGTTAGGTACTATATATGTACATTCGTGCAGTGTCAGAATGTAAAACAAATTTCCTACATTCAGACAAAGAAGTGTGAAAGTTCTCGGTTTAGAGAGTGATAAATAAGGCCAGGTGCGATGGCTCACGCCTGTAATCCCAACACTTTGGGAGGCCGAGGCGGGTGGATCACCTGAGGTCAGGAGTTGGAGACCAGCCTGGCCAACATGGTGAAACCCTGTCTCTACTAAAAATACAAAAATTAGCTGGCCGTATTGGCACATGCCTATAATCCCAGCTGTTCAGGAGGCTGAGGCAGGAGAATTGCTTGAACCCGGGAGGCAGAGGTTTCAGTGAGCTGAGGTCGCGCCATTGCACTCCAGCCTGGGTGACAAGAGCAAGACTACATCTCAAGGAAAAAAAAAACAAGAGAGAGAGAGATAAAGTGATAAATAACTACCACACACTGAACGCCTTTGATAGGCCAGGCATCAGGGTGTTGGTGTCCCACTGTATAGCTGAAGGGGTTAGCTATGATTTAAGAGATTTTCCAAATCCTTCCAGATTCTCCCTCCTTAGTAAAGCAAAGGCCATGCCTGAATGACTAGCTCCTGGAGTCTTCTCTTAGCAGAGCAGAGGCCGTTTCCACCAGAACAGCAAGGCCAACTCTAATGTAGAGACAAAGAAAGCCCTAAGATAGATAGAGAGAACCTAAGATAGAGAAAGCCTCACTCCCTTTCTGGCCTGCTGGGGGGTGGGAAGGGTAAGGAGAGAGAAGAGGGTCAGAAGGGTCTCATGCTTGTTCCTCTTCTCCAGGTCTTGGATGGGGTCTAGACAGATGCACTACTTAATAAGTGGTACTCCGTACACAGAGGGGGCTCTCACCCAGCTCCCCACTAGAGACTCTGGGAGGAACTTGTATCCAAGGCTGTTTTATGCTCAACCAGGGCAGCCATGCCAAAGTGAACCTGGCAGTGAGAAAACCTGAGCAGGCAGAGAGAAGCTGTGAGGCTGAGCTCTCCTGAGTCCCCCTGATTCTTGCATGGCATGGATATCATGTTGGGAGCCAGCAGCCTGCTGTGTGTGGGACGGCCCTGATTGGGCAAGGTGACCTTACAGCAAGCTCAGAGGAGGTCAGGGGTCTGTACCACTGAGAACAGAGGGAGAAATGAGCATGAGCATCAGGTTGCAAGGGGGAGGAACCAGTGTTGGAGGGAGAGGTTCGGCTTTGTGAAAGAATGGACCGCAAGTTTGCCTACCAGAGCAGCGAGGCCTGAAGAGTAAGCAGAAACCAAGAGGACAAGGCAGCTTGGTATGGGGGCATAGGAACAAGGATTCAGGATGATCCACAGGCTGCCTGGCTGCAAGACCCATCTCTGCCACATACTATCTATGTGACCTTGGACAGGTTACTAATCTTTTTATGCCTCAGTTTCCTTATCTGTAAAACGAGGATGATAATAACAGTTGTACATATATGATAAGGTTGTTATGATAATTAAATTAGTTTGTAAAGTTCTTACATATAAGCATTCTATAAGCATCAGTTAAACAAGTAAATCATTCACCAGACAATAGGATTCTACATGGATAGCAACATCACATGTCTCCCACACCCTCAAATCGGACTGTCAGTTAAAAATTCCCACAACCAGCCAGGCACGGTGGCTCATGCCAGCACTTTGGGAGGCCGAGGCAGGCGAATCACAAGGTCAGGAGTTTGAGACCAGCCTGGCCAACACGGTGAAACCCTGTCTCTACTAAAAATACAAAAAATTAGCTGGGCGTAGTGGTGGGCGCCTGTAATCCCAGCTACTCGGGAGACTGAGGCAGTAGAATCGCTTGAACCTGAGAGGCGGAGGTTGCAGTGTGCCAAAATTGCTCCACTGCACTCCAGCCTGGGTGACAGAGCAAGACTCCATTTCAAAAAAAAAAAAAAGAAAAAAATTCTCCCAACCATCATCAGCTCAGCTCATGGGGAGGACTGGATCAGTTATAGACTGCACATTTAAGATGTGATCTACATTACGGCCAGGCGCAGTGGCTCATGCCTGTAATCTCAGCACTTTGGGAGGCTGAGGCGGGTGGATCACCTGAGGTGAGGAGTTGGAGACCAGCCTGACCAACACGGAGAAACCCCATCTCTATTAAAAATACAAAAAATTAGCCGAGTGTGGTGGTGCATGCCTGTAATCCCAGCTACTGGGGAGGCTGAGGCAGGAGAAATCACTTGAACCTGGGAGGCAGAGGTTGCAGTGAGCCGAGATCATGCCATTGCACCCCAGCCTGGGCAATAAGAGTGAAACTCCATCTCAAAAAAATATATATAATCTAAATTAAAAGGCTTGACCCTCCCCAAACACAGTCTGGCTGGGAAGACAGACACAGCAAGTCTTTACATTTATTTACCTCTGATTGTCCAAAAGTAATTCAGAAGGGAACTGCAGTAGGCAGAATAAAGATCTTCCCACAAATGTTCATATCCTAATGAATATATTAGGTTTCATGACAAAAGGGAAATTAAGGTTGCAGATGCAATTAAGATTTGCTAATTAGCTGACCTTAAAATAAGGCAGTTATTCAACCAGACTTCCCTTCCCCAAAAAATAAATGCATAAAAAATAAAGCGATTATCTTGGATTATTGAAGTAGGTTCATTGTAATCACAAGTGTCCTTAAAAGTGGAACCAAGAGGCAGAAGAGGAATCAGAGTCAGAGGGAGATGTAATTATGGAAGAATGAATAGTTGAAGACATACAGCATTGCTGGCTTTGAAGATGGAGAAAAGGGGTCATGACCCAAGAAATGCAGGTAGTTTCTGGAAGCCAGAAAAGGCAAGGAAACAAATTCCCTGGAGCCCCAGAAAGGAACACAATCTAGCCAGCACCTTGATGTTAGCCTGGTAAACCTGCATTGGATTTTTGACCTACAGAACTGTAAAGTAAAAAGTCTGTGTTGTTTTAAGCTGCCAAGTTGGTGGTAATTTGTTACAGTAGCCATATAAAACTGGTAATTTGTTACAGTAGCCATAGAAAACTAATGCAGGGATGTCTTCTAAATGTGGTGTTCTCTGTGAAGTGTTTTTGCCAGGTATTAGAAGCCCTGGTTTTCATATAAGAGCCTGAGCAGAAAGTCAAATTAGGTGGGCCAAGAAATGTCCCAGGATGCTGGGTCACCAGAAGGTTTCCAAAGTAACAAGCAACTAGAAAGTCAATGGCTTGAGTCCCAAACTCTGAGACAGTATCCTTTTTTTTTTTTTTTTTTTTGAGACAGAGTCTCACTCTGTCACCCAGGCTGGAGTGCAGTGATGCAATCTTGGCTTACTGCAATCTCTGCCTCCTGCGTTCAAATGCTTCTCCTGCCTCAGCTAATTTTTTTAGTTTTGTTTTTTTTTTTAGTAGAGATGGGGTTTCATAATGTTGGCCAGGCTGCTCTCGAACTGACCTTGAGTGATCTGCCTGCCTTGGCCTCCCAACACACTGGGATTACAGGCATGAGCCACCGTGCCTGGCCCTGAGACAGTATCTTGAAAGTACAGTCTGATTGCGGGCCCCTGGCTTATGGATGAACTCTAATTCACATATTCTTTCTTGAAGCTTCTTCTCAGACTTGTTAGCCTCGCAGGCCACAGCGTGGAGGCCAAGTCTAGAAACAGTTAACAAAAGTAAAGCGGAGTCAGCTGTCCAAAGCTGCTGTGGAAATTCTGTGCATTCAACGACCGCAGGAGCCCAGCAAGCCTGTACAACCACCCAGAGTTTGTAAATCAGTCTTTCACAATGGATAGAAAAACACAAACCCAAGCATCAAGGCAAACTGCATGGCATTTCTGGGACCCAGGTTGGCCACGGATCCCAGTTCTTTCACCCCACACAGGGTGCTTTTTCCTGTCTGAGATAGGTGAATATTTATTGGCAGGCACAGCTCAAAGGTTAGAGCCCACCGCACAGTGGGGAGGAAGTATTTTCACAGTTCTCTGCCAGTAATAAATGGTGGTCCTTGGACATCAGTCTTAGCATAATGTGGGAGGTGTCTTTTGGGTTCATAGGCCAAGAGGTTGCTGGGCATTCCTGAGATTACTTTAGGGCCCACAGCTTCTTTTAGGAAGAAGGAAGTCTTCCTCTTCTGGGTGTGGTAATATCTGGGGATTACAGCAACCAGGTGTGTGACAGTATAGAGTCCATAAGGGGCTGCAGATCTTCAGGGATCTTCATGAACTGAAATTCTTCACGATAGCACCAAGGAACGGTGCATAAAAGCAATAGTTTATGGATTGCTTGGACAGGGCAAAAGACTCCATGATCCCTCTAATTTATCCCCTTTTACTTCCCAATTCCAAGTAGAGTTCTCCAGGAGGCAATGAGCTAGAAGGACCTCTTTGGATAGCCAGTTCTATATTTATATTTATATTTATATTTATATTTATATTTATCTAGAGAAGCCTACCACATCTGCGGGAACATCTGTGGTTCCCATATCACTCTTTTAGAATCACCAGCTAAAGATATCCCACTCAAATGGCCTTTGCCCTGCACCATTGTGCTTGGCCTTGTTTTACTGACATAATTTTTGCCCTTTGCCCCCAGTTGGAGGGTGTGGCCACTGACTCACCTGCCAGGAACTCATTGCCTGAGTCCAGTCAACAGGTTAACTCCCATCTGAGTTGGTTGCAAAGAGCCTGAGGACCTATGGAATGCCACAGAATTCCTCTGTGGACCACATCCCAGGTCCTGGTATGGTTCCAGCAGTATCTATGAGCTCCTGTCCTCAGTTGCTTTGGCCTTTCTTTAGCCTAGGAATTTATTCTTCTCCAGGCAGAGGAATAAAACGAACAGCCATTATTCCTGACAGCCAGAGGCCTGGATTCAAGGTCTTGGTTATAGACGCAAAATATCTGCCTCAGATGTGGACCCCACATAACAAATAACACCTTACTTCATGGCCCATGTAGTCCTCATTTCAGATGAGAAACTAGACCAAGTCAGGAATCTTGGTGACTGCATCATGGTGACTGTTAGATCTTAGCACATTTATTTTAGGTATTGATAAATATGATGCAAGAGATGAATGAACATTCCAAAACCAACTGCAGTGGGGCCACCCTGGGTTCTCCCAGCGTGCATTATTTTCAGGAAGCAGATAACATTTGGGAGGTTATATTCTTTCTCCCAATTGTGAATTTTTGGAGCTTCTAGGGTTTTCTAATAGCTATGCAAAGGAATGATTTGAATTGTCTAAACCCAGTCAAGGCTGTGAATTGAGGGCTGTATACATCAAAAAATAAGACGTGTCAAAATCCACAAGCAAGCCTCCAAATGCTCTTTCCATTACTGAAACCAATAAGAATCAATATAGAACAGAAAGCACTAGTGGACTTGGGCTTCTGGTTCTCCATCTTCCTCACCCTGTGCTTTCCAGTATGGCAGAGAACCATGAGCTCACTTTCCACAGACTGCACGTACATAACACTTGTTGGAAGACAATTCTCCGTGGGTCTCTCCCATGTCTGCATGCCTTGTGAGCGGAGTCACTGCCCTTTGTTTCAAACCAACTTTTTAACAGAGCTGCTTTCCCAGAACAAAGTAAAGCATGCTTACTGTCCATTAGCTAAGATTCTGAGCAGGATGCTTCAGCTCACACCTAGGCAGAGGCAGGAGGACTGCTTGAGCCCAGGAGTTTGAGGTTGCAGTGAGCTATGATTGCCTGGGCAATAGAGCAATATGCTGACTCAAAAAAAAAAAAAAAAAAAAAAGATTCTGGTTCCCCAAGCTTAAAGCTGTGCTCTCTTGTGATATGCTTTGCTGTGTGTACAGATGTCACCTGGCCCCCTTTGCATTGTCTTTGGGAACTGGGACTCAGGAAATGAGCACAAGAAAATGTCAGTATTTTTGCTATTGCTATTGCTATTGCTATGAGCAAATAAGACCTTTTGTTTCAGACACACCTAGAAGTCTTGTGTTTTCTGCCAGCATCCATGAAACTGCGGCAGGCTCACTTGTTAGCCTGCAAGTAGGATAAAATCTTAAACCCTCCACAGTTCTTGACAAGCTCTCATTTCTTTCTCATATAACACACTCCTTCAATCCACCAACGAATTCCCCTCACCCCTGTGATCCTTAAAGCCACCTAGGCAGTTTAGGTCAAGGGGAAACTACTCATGTAGAAGTGAGAACAGACCAAATTAAAGAGCAAGACTGAGGCTAAACCAGGACCTGGTGACAGGGCTGAGATATCCGGAAGTTTGGTTTAAGGCTGAGACCAGAGAAAGATCATTGTAATTCTGGGCTGTTTATAGCTATATTGTTGGTTGTATGTTCCAGCCAATTGACTGACAGGCAATTCTAAACATGCTTAAGAGAACAAACTTATTGGTTTTCTCATCTGTAAAATGAAATGAGTTAGATTAGATTGTTTCTGATGTGCCTTCTAGCTGTAAAATTTATGCTTTATAAATCTGTAACAGGGCTGCCTAGCATACACATTAGGCACTTGACCTAATTTAAAATAATGATTGCAAAGAGGACTATGACGTAGTGGAAAGGACATAGCATTAGCAGTTAAGAAGCCTGAATTCTAGGCTTAGTCTGCCACTACCTAGCTGTGTGACACTGGGCAAGCCACTTAAATTACCTGGAGGAGGCAGGTGGGGACGTAGACTTAAGATGATTTTGGATGGCTCAGAGATGTGGCATTAAATTATATATTGAAAAAGTAATTTTTCTTTTCAGTTCTCTTTTTGTTTTTCTGATTATGTCAAAGAGAGAGTCTCAGGTTAGTGCTGGTGTGTCTTCAACAACTCTTCAATACCTCCCATCCTCCCTTTTTGGCAAAGAGAGAAGTCTCAAGTTCAGATACTTCACAGGCAGTGCTAGCTAGATAGCATTTAATAACATTGCCCAGCTCTCTTTGCTTTATTTTTGTTTTGCCTTCCATTTGTGGCAAATAATTCAAGTTTTCCACTTATAAGAATGATGCAAAGTTTCCTTTAAAAGTAAATTAATTATGAAAATGTTCTAAAATTGATTGTGGTAATGTTGCACAATTTTGTGAATATACCTAAAAAAAAAAAAAAAAAGCCCACTGAATTGTAAGCTTTATATGGGTGAGTTGGATGGTATGTGAATTACATCCCAGAAAGCCGTTTTAAAAAGTAAATTGAGGCCAGGCATGGTGGCTCATGCCTATAATCCCAGCACTTTGGGAGGCCGAGGTGGGAAGATCATTTTAGCCCAGGAGTTTGAGACCAGCCTGGGCAACATAGTGAGATCCTGGCTCTACAAAAAGTCAAAAAAATTAGCCAGGCATGGTGGCATACTCTTCTAGTCCCAGCTACTCAGGAAACTGAGGCAGGAGGCTTACTTTGAGCCTGGGAGGTCTAGGCTGCTGTGAGCTATGATTGCACCACAGCACTCCAGCCTGGGTAACAGAGTGAGACTCTGTCTTAAAAAAAAAAAAAAATTTAAATTGGTATCCTTTTGTAGTTCATAAGCATGACGATTGGCTTTTCACTTTCATGTGTGAGATGTGCCTCACTCAAACCTTGTTATATTGTCAGCACATTACCCATCTGATGTGGAAAAAAAAAGAAAAAGAAAAACATACGTTGGAACCAGGTATGTGCCGGTAGTCCTAGCTACTCGGGAGCCTGAGGCAGGTGGGTCTCTTGAAAAGGCTGTAGTGTGCTATGATCATATCTGTGAATACTAGCCATTGCACTCCAGCCTGAGCAACATAGTGAGACCCCATCTTTTTTTTTTTTTTTTTTTTTTGAGGCACAGTTTTGCTCTGTCACCCAGGCAGGAGTGCAGTGGCACAATCTTGGCTCATTGCAACCTCTGCCTCCTGGGTTCAAGCGATTCTTGTGTCTCAGCCTCCCGAGTAGCTGGGATTACAAGCATGCACCACCACACCCAGCTAATTTTTGTATTTTTGGTAGAGACAGGGTTTCACCATGTTGACCAGGCTGGTCTCAAACTCCTGACCTCAAGTGATCCGCCCACCTCAGCCTCCCAAAGTGCTGGGATGACAGGCGTGAGCCACCGTGTCTAGCCCCATCTCTTAAATAAAAGAGTACATTGATTAATGTAAAAAAGGGACTAATTTAAATAAAATATTAAGTAAAAAATAGTATAGATGGTCAGTTGATATCGAAAAAGTTGTGCGGAAGATGCAAGACTAAAGTTTGGAGAACCAATGCTATGTGATATTGGACATGTTTCTTAAGTCTCTGACCCTGATTCCTGGCCTACCAAATGAAATGGTGATATCTCCCTGGATTTGTTAAAAGGGAGATAACATAGCACAGGAAACCCTCAGCCCAAGGTCCTGCACAGGGATGGCTTCTGATGAAGGGGAATGGTTGATGAATTGACTGAGCTCCCACCCTGGTGCCAGGCCCTGGGCTTTCAAATGTCAACTGCATCCTCACAATAACTCCACTGCAGGAGCTGGTGGTGCTGTTCCCATTCAGCAAGCCCTGGGGAGTAGTTGTTGTTTATTCTCCTTTTACAGATGAATGAGCTGTGGCTCAAGAGAGGTTAAGTAACTTGCCTGAAGTCACAGAGCTAGTGAGTGGCTCAAGGATGAGGTTCAACTCAGACTCTGACTTCAAAGCTCCTGCTCTTTCCCTTTTACCACATTGCCCCCTCTTACCCGACCTGATTAAACAATCTACCTGTCTAGCCTGGGCAACATGGCAAAACCCCGTCTCTACCAAAAATACAAAAAGTAGCCAGGCGTGGTGGTGCATGCCTGTGGTCCTAGCTTCTCAGGAGGCTGAGGAGGGAGGATCACTTGAGTCTGGGAGGTGGAGGTTGCAGTGAGCTGAGATCGCGCCACTGCACTCCAGCCTGGTTGACAGAGTGAGACCCCATCTCAAAAAAAAAAAAAAGAAAAAAAAAAAAACAGAATCCACCTGCCATGGAAGGGGGTGTTTAGGACCAGGGAGGAGGAGGGACACAAAAGGAACTCCATCCGTTTCTCGAAGCTGAGCATCCTCAGTGTGGCTGCCAGCCTGAGGGACCCACCTTCCTGGTTCTGGTTTTCCATTGTCTCCCCTGTCCCCAGCTGTCTGGTGGAAAATTCTCTTTCTTCATCAGTCCCCCAGGGGCTGGAGTCCTTTCCTGCTGCAGGGTCCCTGCCAACTCCTGCTGGGTTTTTCTCCTTCCATCTACTCACTTGTTCAGACTTTGGCCAACTGCCTGGCATTGGGCCATTGCTGACCCTTGACCCTCTGAGGCTCGGCTGGTATCTTGGTCCCCACCAGTCTTCTGGTCTGATGGTGAGCTCCCCTCCAATGAAGTAATCAAACCTAGGCTACTTCTCTCTCATGCCACTGCCAGTCCCCACTTCAGGCCACCATCATCTCCTGACTGGGCATCTAGTGTGCCCTCCAGCCTTGCCTGCCTCCATTCCTTTAAGTAGTATGGTTCAAAGTGAGTTTACTGAGGTACAGCTTGATTAGAAAACTCTCTGCTTATCCTTCAGCATCTCCCCCACTGTCCTGTGGATAAAGTCTTGACTCCTTAGCCTGGATTTTTAAGACCTTTGTGAACCGGTACTTCCTGTACCTTCCAGCTGCTTCTCTCCCCAGTCTTCTCTTCATCCCAGACAAGCCAGTCATTTGATACTGATTACAGTCCCTGAAGGCTTCTAGATGTCCTTGACACACAGTTGGTACTCACTAAATAGTAATTAACGCGCTATGGCCTCTCGCCGCCAGTCTTTGTACATGCTGTTCCCTCAGTCTGGAATGCCCTTTCCTCCCCTATTCTCCCAATTCTGCCTGATTGTTTTGGACTCTGCTCACATGTGATCTCAAGGAAGCCTTCCTTGCCCTCCCATGTCGGGTTCATCTCTCTGTGCTACAGTAATACCCTGTGCTTTCCTCTGGAAGCGCAGGCCCTGGAGTCTAACTTCCTGGATTTACTTACTTATTTGTTTATTTTTGAGACAGGGTCTCACTCTGTCACCCAGGCTGAAATGCAGTGACATAATCAGGGCTGCAACCTCTGCCTCCTGGGCTCAAGCGATCCTCCCACCTCAGCCTCCCAAGTAGCTGGTACTACAGGGGCACACCACTATGCTCAACTAATTTTCTGTACTTTTTGTAGGGACAGGGTCTCGCCATGTTGCCCAGGCTGGTCTTGAACTCCTGGCCTCAAGCAATCTGCCTGCCTTGGCCTCTCAAAGTGCTGGGATTACAGGCATGAGCCACCGCACCCAGCCTGGATTTAAACTCTTGGTATGCTACATGCCCCAGCTGTGTGACATTGGGCAAGTCACTTCTCTGTGCCTCCATTTCCTCATCTGTAAGATGGAATAATAATAATATCTACTAATACGGTTTCTGTAAGGATTATATGAAACAATGCAGCCTCAACAGCTTAGTGCAGATTCTGGCATATAGTGAACACTCCATAAATGTTAGCTATTATTATTCTAGCCTACATCATAATCTATGGTAGATACCAGTTCTCTGCTTTGTCTTCCTCATTCTAAGCTCCTTGCAGGCAGAGAGTATGTCTCATTTACCATTGAATCTCTGGGTAACTCTCTTAGAACCTGACACACATGGTGCTCAATACATATTTATTGAATGGATGAATGAATGAATGAATATCTCACTTCTTGGTTTAGCTCAGCAGACTTTGCCTAATCCTGAAGTTCTTTCTGGATTCCCAAGACCAGTTTTCCTTGCTCTGGCCTGGGCAGGTCACAGCCCAGATCTTGTTTATGACATTTTGATTTCAGATCTAAATAACTGGTCTCAACACAAGACAGACATCCCCCCAGGTAGTGTATAAGAGAAGTCGCTCATAGTTTGGTAGAAATGCCCTCTCAGCACCTCCACCTCCCTTTGCTCTAATTTGTCATGATGAGGCATGGGCAGCACTCACACAGAACAGGTCATTCCTCCTTTCAACGAGGGTTTGCAGGGCCAGGCCTGTGGGGTGCTGAGGATGCCAGGGAAGGTAGGGTATGAGCCCTGTTTCCGGAACTTCCTGAGGAGTGGCTGGCTCCAGATCGGGCTGGCCAGGCAAGGAGACAGGCAGTTCCGGTGCTGGGCACACACAGCCCATGTCAGGATGTAACCAAAGCATGGGACCGGGAACTAGGGCAGGAAGGCAGGACCAGGAACTCTGGTTTGTAGGATCTGGAGCAAGTCAAAGGTGAGGGCAGGAGGTGAGCAGCTCTGAGAGGAGGCTGAGTGGAGCCTAGCAGAGGTCAGAGTCTATTAGGCGAGGTCCTCCCAGGCCCAGCACCATCAGGAAGGAGAGCGCTCCCAGTGCAGGGGTTGTTGTCAGCCTTGTTCTTTTTTTTTTTCTTCCTGTCTCCAGGGAGGAGCTAGAAGGCAGAGAGAAAGCCACTCAGGACTTCCCATCCCAGAAGATAAAGGTGAGGAAAGCAGCAGCAGCAGCCACAGGCCAGTATTCCAGAGCAGCTTTGGGTTCCTGTCAAGACCTGCTTTGAGAAGGAGGTGGCTGTGGGGCTGGAGGGCTGGGCCTGTTCCTGAGCTGGCTGCTGGCAGCACAGCAATGAGGCAACATTGAGAACTGCGACACGAGGCCCAGTCCTGCTACTAAACCAACTGTGTGGACTTGCATAGTCACTTCACCCCTCGGGCCTCCATTTCTCCACTTTGGAAAGCAGTGTTGGGACGATGTTAAGGGTTTGCAACCTTCCAACATGAAGACTTATTTTTAAAAGCAAAACATTTCAAAGAGTCCACATGACAGTAGTGTTCATTTTGGCATCTGTTGATTTAACAAATACAAAATTAGGCTGGGTGTAGTTGCTAACGCCTGTAATTCCAGCACTTTGGGAGACCGAGGCAGGAGGATCACCTGAAATCAGGAGTTCGAGACCAGCCTGGCCAACATGGTGGAACTCCATCACTACCAAAAATACAAAAATTAGCTGGGCTTGGTGGCACGTGCCTGTAATCCCAGCTACTCGGGAGGCTGAGGCAGGAGAATCATTTGAACCCGGGAGGCAGAGGTTGCAGTGACCTGAGATTGCACCACTGTACTCCAGCCTGGGCAACAGGGCAAGACTCCATTAAAAAAAAAAATACAAAATTAGGCATGGTGGTGTTCGTCTGTAGTCCCATCTATTTGAGAGGTTAAGGCGGGAGGATCACTTGAGCTCAGGAGTTTGAGTTTGCAGTGAGCTGTGGTCTGCCTGTGAATAGCTGCTGCAGTACAGCTTGGGCAACATAGTGAGATTCCATCTCTAGTCTTTAAAAAAAGGAAAAATACGGCCGGGCGCGGTGGCTCACACTTGTAATCCTAGCACTTTGGGAGGTCGAGGAGAGAGGATCACCTGAGGTCAGGAGTTCGAGACCAGCTTGGCCAACATGGCGAAACCCATCTCTACTAAAAATACAAAAATTAGCTGGGTGTGGTGGCGCACGCCTGTAATCCTAGCTACTCAGGAGGCTGAGGCAGGAGAATTGCTTGAACCAGGAGGGAGAGGTTGCAGTGAGCCAAGATCGTACCACTGCGCTCCAGCTTGGGCAACATAGAGAGATCCCATCTCTATTTTTTTAAAAAGGAAAAATACAAGGGATACCAGAGCACTGGGCCAGTGCTTGTTATAAAGTCCATCAATGGGCCAGGCACGGAGGCTCACACCTGTAATCCCAACACTTTGGGAAGCCGAAGTGGGTGAATCATGAGGTCAGGAGTTCGAGATCAGTCTGGCCAACATGGTGAAACCCTGTCTCTACTAAAACTTGGTAGTTTTTTGTAAAATTAGCTGGGCGTAGTTGTGGGCGCCTGTAATCCCAGCTACTTGGGAGGCTGAGGCAGGAGAATCCTTTGAACCCCGGAGGCAGAGGTTTCAGTGAGCCGAGATCACGCCACTGCACTCCAGCCTGAGTGAAGAGCGAAACTCCGTTTCAAAAAAATAAAATAAAATAAAAAATAAAAAAATAAAGTCCATCAATGATGCCAATATTATGGAACAAAATTTAAAAGCAGGGTGATGAGTAATGTTTGTTACTTTTTGGCTACTCAGTTTTGGAGTCCCTTCCCAGGTTTGTGGAAGATGCCATCTTAGGAGTCTTCGTGGAAGCTGGAGCCTGTTGCTTAGCCGTCAACATAGAGGCTGAAAATGCCAGATGCTTCTCAGCCTCCTTTAGCTGCAGGGTTTAGTCATGTGATCTGGGCTGGGCCCATCAGGTGCCATGGACTGAGGAGCCTGGACCAAGCCAGAGCCCAACACAGAACCTTTTCTGGTGGAAGTGGCCATGGCTACTGCAGCCTTGTCTAGATTCCAGGGCAACAGCAGCAGGGTCATGGTTCAGACCCCAGCCATGGTTGTGGCACAGCTGCCCAGGGCTCTGAGAACAGAGCAGGACTCTCTGGATAGCTTGTGCACCACAGTTCTGGCCATGCTCCTGGCTGCTGTCTGGCACCGTTTGTTCTCATTCATGCCCTGAACCTGGCTCTTCAGCCTTCCCAGAGACTCTGTGGGCTGCCCAGCATCCTTCCCAAAAATCCCTCTTCTGTTTTAAATTATCCAGAGCCAGTTTCTGTTGCATTTTTAAGTCAGAGTTCTGACCAATTCACAGTCTTATTTCAGTCTCCGCATCCAACTTATTTTTGTATTTTGCTTTGGTACACACGGTTCTGAGAAAATTCTAATCATACAGATGGATGGTTATAAATAATAATGATAACAACTATTACTGGCTGGGCACGGTGCCTCCTGCCTGTCATCCCAGCACTTTGGGAGGCTAGGGCAGGAGGATCACTTGAACCCAGGAGTTCAAGACCAGCCTGTGCAACATAGTGAGACCCCATCCCTACAAAAAAAATTTAAAAAATAGCCAGGCATGGTGGTGCGGGTCTGTAGTTCCAGCTACTTGGGAGACTGAGGTGGGAGGATTGCTTGAGCCCAGGAAGTTGAGACTGTAGTGAGCCATGATCGCACCACTGCACTCTAACCTGAGTGACAAAGCGAGACACAACAATGACAGCCACAAAAAAACTATTACATAGCACTCACTATATGCCAGGCCCTGTCTTAACCACTTTGCATTTATTAATTCACTTAACAAACCTTTTGAAGGGAGTCTATCATTAACATCCCCCTTTCGTAAATGAGAAAACTGAAGGACAGAGGAGTGATTTGTCCGAGGTCAAGGACTTAAATCTAGGCAGTCCCAATCCAGGATTTGTGCTCTTAACTCCTGCTAAAGGATTTTTTTTCAGATTATCTTTTGAGATTAGAATGTCTTCGATTAAACCAATCTAGAGGCCGGGCGCAGTGGCTCATGCCTGTAATCCCAGCACTTTGGGAGGCCGAGGCAGGCGGATCACAAGGTCAGGAGTTCAAGACCAGCCTGGCCAACATGGTGAAACCCCATCTCTACTAAAAATACAAAAAAATCAGCCAGGTGTGGTCGCGCATGCCTGTAATCCCAGCTACTTGGGAGACTGAGGCAGGAGAATCGCTTGAACCCAGGAGGCGGAGGTTGCAGTGAGCCGAGACCGCGCCACTACACTCCAGTCTGGCAACAGAGTGAGACTCCGTCTCAAAAAAAAAAAAAAAAAAAAACCAATCTAGAAGCTAGAAAGAGAAGTAGTAGAAGTATTTGTTTCAAAGTTGAGGCCGGGCGCGGTGGCTTACGCCTGTAATCCCAGCACTTTGGGAGGCGGAGGCGGGCAGATCATGAGGTCAGGAGATCGAGACCACGGTGAAACTCCGTCTCTACTAAAAATACAAAAAATTAGCCGGGCACAGTGGCAGACGCCTGTAGTCCCAGCTACTCAGGAGGCTGAGGCAGGAGAATGGCATGAACCCCGGAGGCGGAGCTTGCAGTGAGCCCAGATCATGCCACTGCACTCCAGCCTGGGTGACAGAGCGAGACTCTGTCTCAAAAAAAAAAAAAAAAAAAAACGGAGTAATTATCAAAATATCGAACAACTGCTTTTCGTCATCATAAACATAAAAATCAGGCAATAAACAACTGAAACTTATGACAAATATTAAACAAACAAGACAATTTCATCACTCTGCCGGTGGTGTTCCCTGTTATAGGCCTGGTGGTTTATGGAGCCTGGTACACCCAACTGCAGGAAGCTCTCGGCTCTTCATTGCTTTGCTCTTCACAAGCAGACGTGCCCAGGCTGGCACAACACTGCAACATCCGCTTGACACACCCATCTCGGTGCCAGCTGGGCTTAGAGATGCTGGGAGGAGCTTGTGCCAAAGTCTGCACAAAATTGAGTTTAGAAAAAATTACTGCCGGGCGCGGTGGCTCACGCCTGTAATCCCAGCACTTTGGGAGGCTGAGGCGGGCAGATCACCTGAGGTTGGGAATTCGGGACCAGCCTGACCAACATGGAGAAACCCTGTCTCTACTAAAAATACAAAATTAGCCGGGCATGGTGGCACGTGCCTGTAATCCCGGCTACTTGGGAAGCTGAGGCAGGAGACTTGCTTGAACCTGGGAGGCGGAGGTTGTGGTGAGCCAAAATCACGCCATTGCACTCCAGCCTGGGCAACAAGAGTGAAACTCCGTCTAAAAAAATACTACACAGATGGGGGTATGTCAGAGAGGCACAGGAGTCAACTGTGTCCCAGTGGCCAAAGTTGGAACAATGTCACCAACAAAATAAAGTAGTATTGGATTACAACCCAAAGTGTAGAAAAATATCTGTGAATCCGTACTTACATACTTTTTAATTTAGAAAAGAATAAATGATCCATAAACCACCAGGCTGGGTGCAGTGGCTCACACCTGTAATCCCAGCACTTTGGGAGGCCAAGGTGGGCGGATCATTGAGGTCAGGAGTTCAAGACCAGCCTGGCCAACATGGTGAAACCCCCATCTCTACTAAAAATACAAAAATTAGCCAGGTGGGGTGGCAGGTGCCTGTAATCCCAGCTACCTGGGAGGCTGAGGCAGGAGAATTGCTTGAACCAGGGAGGCGGAGGTTGCAGTGAGCTGAGATTGTGCCATTGTACTCCAGCCTGGGTGATAAGAGTGAGACTCCATCTCAAAAAAAAAAAAGAAAGAAAGAATAAAAACAAACACTATTTCAGCTAGGTGATCAAGGTCAACATCAGCACTCATAAATCATGTTGATAGTACATACCCTTGATATGATATCATGAAAGTGACACCTTTATCTCTGTGATCTTCCTTCCCAAGTCTCTTAACTCCAGTCTACTTGTGAGAAAACCATTAGATAAATCTCACTAGAGGGCCATCCTACAAAATTCTCTGCTAGTACTCTTCAAAACTCAGAAGGTCATCAAAAACAAGGAAAGTCTGAAAAATTGTCACAACCAAGAGAAGCCTAAGGAGATACGACAGCAAAATGTAAGGTATTATCTTAAACAGGATCTGGGGACAGAAAAAGGCCTTTAGGTAAAAACTAAGGAAATATGAATAAATTATGGACTTTAGTTAATAATGTGTCAACCTGGTCTATCAATTGTGACAAATGTACACTATCAATTTAAGATGTTAATAATAGGAGAAATTGGCTGCTGGAAAGGAGAAGGTAACATGGGAACTCTATATAATTTGCTCAATGTTTCTGCAAATCTACAATTTTTCTTTCCTTTTTTCTTTTTTTCTTTTTTTTTTTTTTGAGATGGAGTCTCGCTCTGTCACCCAGGCTAGAGTGCAGTGGCATGATTTAGGCTCACTGCACCCTCCACCTCCCTGGTTCAAGCGATTCTCCTGCCTCAGCCTCCTGAGTAGCTGGAATTACAAGCGTGTGCCATCATGCCTGGCTAATTTTTTGTATTTTTAGTAGAGACGGGGTTTCACCGTGTTAGCCAGGATGGTCTTGATCTCCTGACCTCGTGATCCACCCGCCCCAGCCTCCCAAAGTGCTGAGATTACAGGTGTGAGCCACCGTGCCCGGCCTAAAATTTTTCTAAAATATAAAATCTATTAATAAAAAAAAAATTGGCTGCCCTCTTAAGAAATTAGTTTACCTGGTGATGCAACTTAGATCACCAAGGTCTTGACATGATAAAAGTAAGTATTTAACGCATTTATATTGTTATGGACTAAACTTTTTCATATACATTTTTAGAGACAGAGTCTTGCTATGACACCCAGGTTGGATAGAGTGCAGTGGCTATTCACAGGTACGATCACAGTGTATTAAAACCCCGAACTCCTGGGCTCAAGTGATCCTCCCACCTCAGCCTCCCAAGTAGCTAAGACTATAGGCACATGGCACCATACTTGGCTAATTTTTCAATTTTTTTTGTAGAGACAAGGTCTCGCTATGTTGCCCAGGCTGGTCTTGAACTCAAGCTATCCTCCCGCCTCAGCCTGCCAAAGTGCTGGGATTACAGGTGTGAGCCACCAAACCTGTCCCCTAAACGTTTTAATAGCTGTTTTAAAACGTATTTAAATAGGGCCAGACGTGGTGGCTCACGTCTGTAATCTCAGCACTTTGGGAGGCCGAGGCAGGAGGATTGCTTGAGCCCAGGAGTTTGAGAGCAGCCTGAATAACATGGCAAAAGCCCATATTTAAGGAATAAAAAAATACAAAAAAAATTAGCTGGGCATGGTGGCATGCGCCCATAGTCTCAGCTACTCTGGAGGCTGAGATGGGACCTAGGGGAGGTCAAGGCTGCAATGAGCCAAGATCATGCCACTGCACTCCAGCCTGGCTGACAGAGTGAGACCCTGTCTCAGACAAAAAAAAAAAAAAAGAAAAGAAAAAAGAAAAAAAATTAAATATAATTGTAATGAGATTCTAATCTTTCCATTGGCACTGCTGAATGACCTCAGAGTAGCTGAGCACAGTTTGAAATCCACTGATCCGCCCTGATGGAAGGGAAAGAAAAGGTCCTTAGTCTTCGTCTCTAAAACTCTCTGGATCTCTAAGGTGGAGGAAAAACTCCATATGTCAAGGCAAAGCACCTAAAATCAACTCAATGATTTCCCCGTCCCTCCCACCACCACCCAAGACACTGTATGAGCAACTGTTTGAAGCCAAGGCTGCAGTTGTCTTTGTCCTGCATCTGCCTGTCAAGCCCAGCGCTCCCCAGCCGCGGGAAGGGCAGAAAGCTGGAATTAAGTGGGGCAACAGATGGTTGGGACATGGCCTCTGGATGCTCAGCTGCACTGTCCAGCCTGCCAAGCTGTGTACATTTCAAACGTTTGGGGTTCAACCAAAGGAGACGAATAATGATTTTAAATTACTTGCTGAAACACATGGTTAATCCCTGGGTAGCCAGAGAAGAGTGCTTTAAAACCCTACTTAAATCTAGTGGGGGAGCAAGGAAACCCCGTGTGCTTTCTCGCCTTTGAACCCAAATCAGGCCACCCTACATGGAGCTGGGCATTTGTTCAGGATCCCAGTGTGTGTCCTGCTTTCTATGCTTTTCAAAAGGGTCAGGTGTTTCTGTCTGTGTGTTGATTTGGGGTGACAGTGGGGAGAGGATAGTCTGTTTGGCAGGTAGGTTTGGATCCCGAGAAACGATGTACCCTGGCATTTGCCTCCTGGCCTGGAATTGGGGGACTCCAAGGTCAACCTGCTTCATAAATTCCATTAGCTGTTTTTCCCTGTCCTGGTTCAGGTCTTTCTTATTTATTTCTTTTTTTTTTTTTTTTTTTTTTTGAGACAGAGTCTCACTCTGTCGCCCAGGCTGGAGTGCAGTGGCGCAATCTCGGCTCACTGCAAGCTGCGCCTCCCGGGTTCACGCCATTCTCCTACCTCAGCCTCCCGAGTAGCTGGGACTACAGGCGCCCGTCACCACGCCCAGCTAATTTTTTTTGTATTTTTAGTAGAGACGGGGTTTCACCGTGTTATCCAGGATGGTCTCGATCTCTTGACCTCGTGATCTGCCCGCCTCGGCCTCCCAAAGTGCTGGGATTGCAGGCGTGAAGGTCCTTCTTATTTCTTGCATGGATGTTGCCAACAGTCTTCGGTTTCTTCTCAGTCCTGTGTCAGTAGGCTCTCCTACTACACAGGGGCGTCTCGTTATTACACAGCATCTCCCATCTTGACTATACCCATTCCTCGCCTCTGCATCTCTTTCCAACTTCTTGAAATAGTAGTCAGGGCCAGGTGTGGAGGCTCACGCCTGTAATCCTAATGCTTTGGTAGGCTGAGGCAGAAGGATCGTTTGAGGCCAGGAGTTGGCGGCCAGCCAGGGCAACATAGTTGGACACTGTCTTCACAAAAAAAAAAAAAATTAAAAATTAGCCCAGCGTGGTGGCACACACCTGTACCCCCAGTAACTCTGGAGGCTGAGGTGGGAGGATCACTTCAGCCCAGGAGTTCAAGGCTGCAATGAGCTATGATTCTGCCACTGCATTCCAGCCTGGGTGACAGCGCGAGACCCTGTCTCAAAAAAAAGGAAAAAAAGAAAGAGTCTGCTCTCTCTGGTTTCATTCTTCCTGTTCACTCATCTGTCCCTACTGTTCCACTGAAACTTCCCTTGTAAAGGTCACCAGCAACTTATACGTTGCAAAATCTAATGGGTCTACCTCTGCCATCGTAAAACTTGACCCTTCAGTAGCATTTGACACAGTTGACCACTTCCTCCTTCTTGAGGCATTCTTCCTTCTTCGTTTTAACGATGATACTCTCTCCTGGTTTTCCTCTACCTCTATGGCTATAGAGATAGACTCTTCTCAGTCTCCTTGGCAGGCTTCTCCTTTACCTGACCATTAGTGTTGGGGTACTTTAGGGCTTGGTTCTGAAATAGCATCTAGTCGCTGTCTAAAGCTCTCAAAATGATCTCATCTACTCCAGAGCTCTAAATACCACCAAAATACTGATGACCCCCAATTTTACATCTCCATGCCTGAGCCCAGACTCATCCATCCTCCTCTTGCTTTATGTCTCCACCTGGCTAACAGGCACTTCCAATCATGCATTTCCACAATCGAGCTCTTCATTCTCTTTATCCTCAAAATCTCTCCCTCTCCTCTCCCCTCCCTTTCACCCCTTTAGCTTCTTTATCCATCTATTTGCACAGGGCAAATTCTAGAAGTCATTTTTCATTCTTCCTTTTCCCTCATCCCACACATCCAGCCCATCACCATGTTTAGTCAGTTATATTAAATACCTCTTGTCTCTACCTCACTTTTCTTTACATTTCCGCAGACACATTCTTAGTCTAAGCCACCCTCATTTTTCCCCTGGACAACTGAAAAAGCCTCTTTAGTGGCCTCCCTGCTTCACAACAGTCCCTCCCAAATACATTCTCCACCAGAAGTGAGAATGAACACTTCAAAAATGTAATTTGGGGCCAGGTGCAGCGGCTCATGCCTGTCATCCCAGCACTTTGGGAGGCCGAGGCGGGCAGATCACTTGAAGTCAGGAGTTCGAGACCAGCCTGGCCAACATGGCGAAACCCTGTCTCTACTAAAAATACAAAAATTTGCGGGGCATGGTGGCAGTCCTAGCTACTCGGGAGGCTGAGGCATGAGAATCACGTGAATCCAGGAGGCGGAGGTTGCAGTGAGCCAAGATCGCACCACTGCACCCCAGCCTGGGCAACAGAACAAGGCGCTGTCTCAAAAAAAAAAAAAAAAGTAATTTGGTGATATATAGTCATTGTCTCATTAAAGGGGTATTTATTGAGTGTCTGCTATTGTGCTATGTATCAGACAGTGAACAAGTCTCTGCTCTTGAGAAGCTTACAGTCTCATGCTGAGAGACAAGCAATAAACATAATTAAATTCATATGTTAGAAGGTGATAACCGCATGGAAAAAAGTAGATCAGGTAAGGGGATCTCAGGGAACATAGGTCTATGTGTTTGTTGCAGGGGGTTGTAATTTTAAATTGGGGAGTAGGAAATGTTTGATCTCTAAATATCATTTCCTACTAAAAGAGTTCCTAAGAGAAATGTCTAATTCCATGCCAGAGCTAAGAAATGCTTAAGATGATTCTGGAACATCTTGTTACACCAGAAAGCAAAGAACCTAACAAAGACCGTTGGGGTGGCATCAAAAGGACCCAATAGCCAAGTTCAAGAGACTCTCATTGGCCAAATATGGAACAATTTGAGTGTCTGAAAGAATAACAACTGCAATGGGTCAAAATATATACATGTCAAAATACCTGAGTTCGGCCTGGCGTGGTGGCTCACACCTGTAATCCCAGCACTTTGGGAGGCTGAGGCAGGCAGATCACCAGGTCAGGAGATCGAGACCATCCTGGCTAACATGGTGAAACCCTGTCTCTACTAAAAATACAAAAATTAGCCGGGCATGGTGGCGGGCACCTGTAGTCCCAGCTACTTGGGACTACAGAATGGTGTGAACCCGGGAGGCAGAGGTTGCAGTGAGCCGAGATCGCACCACTGCACTCCAGCCTGGGCTACAGAGTGAGACCCCGTCTCAAAAAAAAAAAAAACGAAAAAAATCTGAGATCATAATGATACTTTTAAAGTCAAGAACACAACCCATTGGTCACTTTTGGCAAGTTCTAAGGAACCAATTAATTATTCTGAAAACTGGTAAAGAAAAGGACAGAGTTAAGCATGTAGCCTGCTTTCTCTGTATGAAAATAACCAAGGAATCCAAATAGTTGACAAGGAAAAGTTCCTCTTTATAGACATATTCCAGCTAAGAAATGAAGAAAAAAGATAGAATTAGAATATCATCATTTTACAGCCTCTAGGGAAATAATCAGTCTAGGCCATGATCATCAACAGCTTCTAACATCGCAAAAAGAGCGAGAGCCAGATATTCAGCTCCTGACGAATGGACACAATACATCTTGTGAAGTAGTTTGGGTTTCCAGATAAAACACACAATGTTTAGTTAAATTTGGATTTCAAATAAATATCAAATAAATTTTAGTATAAATATATCCCAAACGTTCCATGAGACATACATATGCTGAAAAATGTTCAAGGACCAGGCTGGGCATGGTGGCACACACCTGTAATCCTAGCACTTTGGGAGGCCGAGGTGGGCGGATCACGAGGTCAGGAGATCGAGACCATCCTGGCCAACATGGTGAAACCCCGTCTCTACTAAAAATATAAAAATTAGCTGGGTGTAGTGGCACGTGCCTGTAATCCCAGCTACTCAGGAGGCTGAGGCAGGAGAATCGCTTGAACCAGGGACTTGGAGGTTGCAGTGAGCTGAGATCACGCCACTGCACTCCAGCCTGGGCAACAGGGTGAGACTTTGTCTGCCCCCACCCCCCCAAAAAAAAAGTTCAGGGACCGGGCGCGGTGACTCACACCTATAATCCCAGCATTTTGGGAGGTCGAGGCAGGCAGATTGCTTGAGCCCAGGAGTTCAAGACCAGCCTGGGCAACATACCAAGACCTCACCTTTACAAAAAATTAAAAAAGTAGCCGGGCGAGGTGGTGCGCACCTGTGGTCCCAGCTTCCTGGGAGGCTGAGGTGGGAGGATCGCTTGAGCCTGGGAGGCAGAGGTTGCGGTGAGCCGAGATCGCCACTGCACTCCTGCCTGGGCAATACAGCAAGACTCTATTAAAAAAAAAAAAAAAAGCTCATTATCTGAAATTAAAACTTAACTGGGCATCTTGTATTTTTATTTACTAAGCCTGGCAACCCTAAAAGTAGTGTGGCCAAAATAATCACACGTGAACCCACTTTAACCTCAAAATCTAACTACTACGAAATACAGCAATATTGTGATCAGCAACATTCAGACTGTGAGAAACTTTGTCCTGCAGAACAGACCAGTCAACTTTTTCAACACGTAGAAAAAGAGAGAGAGAAAAAGAGACGGAATTTGGTTTAGATTCTGATTCAGTAAATCAAGGGTAGGTGCAGCCACTACAAAAATTAGTCTGGCTTCTGAGAATCGCCCTTCCTCTGACTCCAGGCTTCCCCTGGGCTTTCACGTCATAGTGCAGCAACACCAAACCACTTTGAATTGAGGCCCCTTAGAGGCAATCTTGAGAGATGCTTGGGGCCAAGTCTTGTTTCACTAAACCAGGTTACAAGTGGAGGGGTGATGTGAGGAGGGGAGAAAAAGCTAAGATCTTAGTTTTTGGGATGGGATGAGATGAGAGCTGAGGTGCAGCAACTGCAATGGGAGAGGGCACTTTGGGGAAGGAAGCAGAGATGTTTTTAAAAGGCGATGATTGGGAAGTTTTGTTGGTGATGTGTGATGTCTGCCCCTCCTTTTCCTGCTCATGCCTTTGGAGCGGGTAATTTGGATGCTGGGCTGGATCTACAGGGCTTAGAAGTGTGGTTGAAGGCTGAGTGTGGTGGCTCACGCCTGTAATCCTAGCGCTTTGGGAGGCCAAGGTAAGTGGATCACTTGAGGTCAAGAGTTCGAGACCAGCCTAGCTAACATGATGAAACCCTGTCTCTACTAAAAATACAAAAATTAGCTGGGCATAGTGGCACAGGCCTGTAGTTTCAGCTACCCGGGAGGCTGAGGCAGGAGAATCACTTGAACCTGTGAGGCAGAGGTTGCAGTGAGCCAAGATCCTGCCACCGCACTCCAGCCTGGGCGACAGAGCAAGACTCCATCTCAAAAAAAAAAAAAACCATGCCAGGTGCAGTGGCTCATGCCTGTAATCCCAGCACTTTGGGAGGCCGAGGCAGGCGGATCACGAGGTCAGGAGTTCGAGACCACCCTGGCCAACATGGTGAAACCCGGTCTCTACTAAAAATATAAAAATTAGCTGAGCATGGTGGCGGGCGCCTGTAATCCCAGCTACTTGGGAGGCTGAGGCAGGAGAATTGCTTGAACCCAGGAGGCAGAGGGTGCAGTGGGCCGAGATCGTGCCATTACACTCCAGCCTGGGCAACAGAGCAAGACTCCGACTCAATCAAAAAAAAAAAAAAAAAAAGAGGAAGAAGGGTGGACGAAGAAGTCATGGCTACCTTCAGGCCATATCACACCAGATTCTATTTAGATCTGTCTCCCTGCCATGAACCCCTCAAGGGCACAGACTGTGTTTCCAGCTTCAGATTTCCTATTGCCTATTAAAGTGTCTGTCACTTCATACATATCTGGTGAATAAATGAATGAATGAATGAGTGAATAAAGCCTCCTGATTTGCAGAGATGGTGGTCTTCTGATATAACAAATTGTGCTCATCAGATATACAATTGCCTTATGGAACACTGAATTTAACCTTTGCTATGTCCACACACCAGGAAGGAATATTCTAGACTTAGCAACTAGGCTCAGGCTGGGCATTGTGGCTCACACTTGTAACCCCAGCACTTGCAGAAGCTGGCATGGGAGAATCACTTGAGCCCAGGAGTTTGAGAACAGCCTGGGCCACATGGCGAGACCTTGTCTCTACAAAAAATAAAAAATTAGCCGGGTGTGGTGGCATGTGCCTGTAGTCCCAGAAACTTGGGAGGCTGAGGTGGGAGGATGGCTTGAGTCTGGGAGGTTGAAGCTGCAGTGAGTCGTGGTTGTGCCACTGCACTCCTGCCTAGGCAATAGGGCAAGACCCTGTCTCAAAAAAGAAAAAGAAGAAAAGAAAGAAAGAAAGGAAAGGAAGGAAGGAAGGAAAGAAGGAAGGAAGGCGAAGGAAGGAGAAGGAAAGAGAAGGAAAGGAAAAGAAAGAAAGAAAGGAAAGAAAAGAAAAGAAAAAATGCACAGAACATATTTGGACAATTTAACAAATAATTACAAAGCAGCTCTCTGTGTAACCAACACTTGCGTCAAGAAATAGTAATGACCGGGTATGGCAGTTCATGCCTGTTATCCCAACACTTGGGGAGGCCGAAGTGGGAGGATTGCTTGAGCCCAGGAGTTAAAGACTGCAGTGAATTATGATTGCACCACTGCACTCCAGCCTGGGTGGCAGAGCGAGACCCTGTCTCAAGAAAAGAAAAAGAGAGAGAGAGAGGGAGGGAGGAAGGGAGAGAGAGAGAGAGAGAGAGAGAAAAGAAAAGAAAAGAAGGAAAGTAGGTTCAGTTCACTGGGTCAGAAGCCCTGGAGTCACTTTCCCAGGCATCTTGAGACGCTTTCCTATGTGAATGGAAAGCCCAGCTTGCTTTCTGTTTTCTCTTGCAGTTCAGCTTTGTGAGTGTCTGTAGTGTATGTGTCTTGTGATGTGTTATGGGAGCTGTGATGAGGCTTACATCACAACCAGAAGATGACCTTGGAAGGAGAACCCTGGACAAGGCAGGAAAAATAATGAGGGCAATCAAGAGTCTGGAAAGCCCTGGCAGCTATGAAAGGTTTGAGCCATGCACCAGTCACCATCTGTGTACTCAAGAGAAAGAAAGAAGAGATGAAAGATACCGCTCCCTTCACCCCGCGCCTCTATCTAGAGGAAAGAATAACACAAAGAAAAAAAAACATGAGAGAAAGGCTGCCTCTTGAGAACCCTGGGCTTGACTTAAAAGGTTCTCCTTCTATGACCATGACGTAATAAGTCATTTTTTATATCTGAATAACATTGTTCTTCTACAGCATCATCTTATGAGCTATAAATGTATCCCGTTGATACTGCCACTAAAATATTTTGGGTTTTTTTTCCTGAGGTTTTTAGAGGAAAAAATCAGGACTTAATCTTTTTTTTTCCTGCTTAATCATACATTTTATTCCTCAGACATGGTTCAGAAGGACTCTGGATGGTCCAAAAACTCATATTCGCCTGCAAAGGTGGAGGTTGTAACCACCGGGAACATGCTATGAGTTAGGCAGACATTATTCAGTGAGGAGGCCTAGAAAGGCATAGAGGCGGCAGCAGCACAGGTGCAGTAATGAGAAGGCGCCCCAGGCTGCAGACTCCGTGAGGGCAGAGACCATCCACCATTGACACACAGTAGGTGTGCTGTAAAGTTTGTTGAATGAATAAATGAAAGAAAGAGAAAGACTATCACATATATGGAAGTGTAAGTTCTTCAGTGTCTTTTAAAAACTAGAAAAAAGGGCTGGGTGCAGTGGCTCATGTCTGTTATCTCCCTTAACAGGAGGATTGCTTGAGGCCAGGAGCTTAAGACCAGCCTGGGCAAAAAATTGAGACCCATCTCTATAAAAAAATTAAAAAATTAGCTGGGTGTGGTGGTGCACATTTGTAGTCCCAGCCAGCTACTCGAGAGGCTGAGGTGGGAGGATCACTCGAGTCCACAAGTTTGACACTGCAATGAGCTGTAATCACCCCACTATACCTAAGCCTGGGTGGACAGACTGAAACCTTATCTCCAAAATATATATATATGTGTATATATATATGTATATGTGTATATATATATATGTGTGTGTGTGTGTGTGTGTGTGTATATGTATGTATGTATATATATATATACTGGGTGCAGTGGTTCATGCCTGTAATCCCAACACTTTGGGAGGCTTTGGGAGGCTGAGACAGAAGGATTGCTTGAGCCCAAGAGTTCAAAACGAGCCTGGGCAACATATTGAGACCCTGTCTCTATTTCTATTTAAAAAAATAAAATTCTTTCTTTCTTTTTTTTTTTTTTTCTGAGACTGAGTTTCCTTGTGTCACCCAGGTTGGAGTGCAGTGGCGTGATCTCAGCTCACTGCAACCTCCGTCTCCCGGGTTCAAGTGATTCTCCTGCCTCAGCCTCCAGAGTAGCTGGGATTACAGGCACCTGCCACCATGCCTGGCTAATTTTTATGTTTTTAGTAGAGACGGGGTTTCGCCATGTTGGCCAGGATGGTCTCGAACTCTTGACCTCAAGTGATCCACCAGCCTTGGCCTCTCACAGTGCTGGGATTACAGGCATGAGCCACGGCGCCCAGCTACCCGCCCCCCCCAAAAAAATAATAATAATTTATTTCTTAAAAAAGTAAAAAAAACAGGCTGGGCATGATGGCTCACGCCTGTAATCCCGGCACTTTGGGAGGCCGAGGTGGGCAGATTAACTAAACTCAGGAGTTTGAGACCAGCCTGAGCAACACGGTGAAACCCCGTTTCTACTAAAATACAAAAAACTAACCAAACGTGGCAGCATGCGCCGGTAATCCCAGCTACTCGGGAGGCTGAGGCAGGATAATTGCTTGAACCCGGCAGACAGAGGTTGCAGTGAGCCGAGATCGTGCCACTGTACTCCTGCCTGGGAGACAGAGCGAGACTCCGTCTCTAAAAAAAAAGTAAAAAAAAAAAACAAAGCCCTGGAAAAAAGAAGCCCAATTTATCCATTAATTGAGTCTCACATAGGACCTGAAAATGACATTTCCAGGTGCTTCTCAAGGAAGCTGAGTCCATTTCACCAGAGTAAGAGGTCCTAGAGCCAGCACCAGACTCCATCAGGAAACCAGCACTCTCGGGAACAGCATTGGAATCCCAGGGAATTTAAAGGTATTTTTGTTGTTGTTGTTGTTCTTAATGGAAACAACCCTTCAAGTAAAGACTACAAACTTCTTTTGTGTGCAAGCTGATAGCGCCTCAGCTTTGGGACGCTGTGTTAGTTTTCCTGGGCTGCCATAACAAAATACAACAAACTGGGTGGCGTAAAACAACAGAAATTCATTGTCTCGCAGTTCTAGAGGCTACAGGTCCAAAATCAGGGTGTTGGCAAGGTCGCGTTTCCTCTGATAGAGGTCACGGAACCCTCCCTTGCCTCTTCCTAGCTGCTGGTAGTTTGCCTTGGCTTGCTGCAGAAGCAGTCCAGGCTCCCCGCGTCCTGTTCTCCCTGTGGGTCTCTGTCTTCACATGGCCATCTTCTTATGACACCAGTCATGTTGGATTAGGGGTCCATCCTACTCCAGTGTAACCTAACCTTACCTCATTACATCTGCAATGACCTATTTCCAAATGAGGTCAGACTCTGAGGTACTGGGTTAAGGGGTTAAAACTTCAATATATCTTTTTTTTTTTTTTTTTGAAACAGAGTCTTGCTCTGTTGCCCAGGCTAGGATGCAGTGGCACAATCTCGGCTCACTGCGACGTCCACCTCCCAGGTTCAAGCGATTCTCCTGCCTCAGCCTCCCAAGTAGCTGGGATTACAGGCTTGCACCACCACGCTCAACTAATTTTTGTATTTTTAAGTAGAGACAGGTTGGGAGCGGTGATTCACGCCTGTAATCCCAGCACTTTAGGAGGCTGAGGCGGGCAGATCACAAGGTCAGGAGTTCAAGACCAGCCTGGCCAACAGAGTGAAACCCCTAAACTCTACTAAACTCTACTAAAAATACAAAAAATTAGCTGGGCATGGCGGCAGGCACCTGTAATTCCAGCTACTCAGGAGGCTGAGGCAGAAGAATCGCTTGAACCCAGGAGGCAGAGGTTGCAGTGAGCCGAGATCACACCATTGCACTCCAGCCTGGGTGACAGAGCAAGACTTTGTCTCAAAAAAAAAAAAAAAAAAGTTTTGCCATGTTGGTCAGTCTGGTCTCAAACTCCCGACCTCAGGTTATCTGCCGGCCTTGCCTGCAGTGGCGTGAGCCACCGTACCCGGTCCAACATATCTTTTTGAGGGGATCATAACTTAATTCATAAGAGACATTTGGAGGAACATGCTCCAGTTAAAACTGAGTTGAATTCAGTTTCTCAATTGACAAAGAGAATCAAATTGTTACCTGCTTAGTCACTGCGTTCCACCTGAATCTGATGACCCTTTTCTGTACTCTGGTACCTACTTTCATCATAGCACCTGTCGTACTATAGAGTAACTTACCATCTGTCATTTTTATCAGGCTGCGAGTCTTGGCTCTTACTTTACTTTTTTTTTTTTTTTTTTTTTTTTGAGATGGAGTCTCATTCTGTCACCCAGGCTGGAATGTGATGGCAGGTTCTCGGCTCACTGCAACCTCTGTCTCCTGGGTTCAAGCGATTCTCCTGCCTCAACCTCTGGAGTAGCTGGGACCACAGGCACGTGCTGCCATGCCCGGCTAATTTTTATATTTTTAGTAGAGATGGGGTTTCACCATGTTGGCCAGGCTAGTCTCGAACTCTTGACCTCAAGGGATCCGCCCTCCTTGGCCTCCCATATTGCTGGGATTACAGGCGTGAGCCACCACTCCTGGCCTTACTTTCCTTTTTATTGCTTCAGTCTAGCACCACAGTAGGCACGAAAGCTTACTGAATCAAATGAATGTCATATCACGAATCACTTTGGAGATAGTCGATGACTACTTACACAAGTCAGTCTCCTTAAAAGCTACACAATTTCTGCTTAGTGCCCTTAATAGCTCTCTGTCTGCTCACACCTTGTTCCAGGCAACCTATAGAATTGGCTGTGCTCTTTAATTCAGGAAATACCTTGGCTCCCACCTTCCTGCCCATCCTTCTTGCTCAATTCCAGTTGCCTCAGTTTCCCTGGGTTGCCACCTACCAGGAGTTTTCCCAGTGAACAGTGACGATGGGTGTTGGTTCCATTTCTGCCCGTGGGTGCCTCCTCCTGACTGCCCTCACTCCTACCTTGGCAGCTGGTGCATGAGCCAGGCCTGGTCACCCCACCCAAGTCACTACTCAGCACTCCGGGCTCCTGCTCAGCTGAGAGATGGGATCAGACAGTCTGTGACCTCCCTTTATTTTTTTATTTATTGAAGTCCTCCTAATTTATGTATTTATTTTGACACCTTTATTGAGATATGGTTCAAATATCCATAAAATCTCCCTTTTTAAAGTGTGCAATATAGTAGCTTTAGTGTATGCACAGAGCTGTGCAACCGTCAGCATTTCCTAACTCCAGAGCATTTTCATCGCCCCCCAGGAGAAACCCCATATCCATTAGCAGTCACTCTCCATTCCTACTTCCCCTTAGGCCTTGGCTACCACTAATCTACTTTCCATCTTTGTGGATTTGCCTATTCTAGATATTTTATATGAATGGAATAATACAATATGTATGGTTTTATGTATGGTTTCTTTTATATATGGTTTCTTTCTGTTTGAGACAGGGTCTTCTATGTATGGTTTCTTTCTTTCTTTTTGAGACAGGGTCTCTCGCTCTGTCGCCTAGGCTGCCTAGGCTGGAGTAGAGTGGTACAAACACAACTCACTGCAGCCTCAACCTCCCAGGCTCAAGCGATCCTCCCACCTCAGCCTCCTGAGTAGTTGGCACTACAGGCACACATCACCACGCTCAGCCAGATTTTAAATTTTTAATAGAGATGGGGTCTCACCATGTTGTCCAGGCTGGTCTTGAACTCCGGGGCTTAAACGATCCACCCACCTCAGCTTCCCAAAGTGCCAGGATTATAGGCATGAGCCACCACATCCAGCCTGGGTTCTTTCACTTAGCCACTTAGCATAAAGTTTTCTTTCTTTCTTTCTTTCTTTCTTTCTTTTTTTTTTTTTTTTTTTTTTGAGACAGAGTCTCGCTCTGTCGCCCAGGCTGGAGTGCAGTGGCGCGATCTCCGGCTCACTGCAAGCTCTGCCTCCCGGGTTCACACCATTCTCCTGCCTCAGCCTCCCAAGTAGCTGGGACTACAGGTGCCCGCCACTACGCCCAGCTAATTTTTTGTATTTTTAGTAGAGAGGGGGTTTCACCGTGTTAGCCAGGATGGTCTCGATCTCCTGAACTCGTGATCTGCCCGCCTCGGCCTCCCAAAGTGCTGGGATTACAGGCGTGAGCCACCGCGCCTGGCCCTTCCTTCCTTCCTTCCTTCCTTCTCTTTCTTTCTTTCTCTCTCTCTTTCTTTCTTTCTTTTTTCTTTTCTTTTTTTTTGAGACAGAGTCCCTGTCATCCAGGCTGGAGTGCAGCGGTGCCATCACAGCTCACTGAAGCTTCAAACTCCTGTGCTTAACCGATTTTCCCATCTGGGATTCCAGAGCTCTGGGATTGCGGGGATGAGCCACTGCACCCAGCTAGCTTACTGTTTTCTCTCTCTCTCTTTTTTTTTTTTTCTTTTTATTTTTGAGACAGGGTCTCACTCTGTCGCCCAGGCTGGAGTGCAGTGGTGTGATCTCAGCTCACTGTAACCTCTGCCTCCCAGGCTCAAGCGATCCTCCCACCTCAGCCTCCTGAGTAACTGGGGCTACAGGCACACACCACCACACCCAGCTAACTTTTGTATTTTTTTGACAGAGACGGGGTTTCACCATGTTGCCCAGGCTGGCATAATGTTTTCAAGGTTCATCTGTGTTGTAGCCTGTATCAGTACTTCATTGCTTTTTATGGTTTAATGAATAAATAAAACATAAGTTCATACCACGTTTATTTACCCACTCATCAGCTGAGGAACATTTATTTGGGCTGTTTCCACTTTTTGGCCATAATGAATAATGTTGCTATAAACATTCATGTACAAGCTTTTGTTGGAAAATATGTTTTTAACTCTCTTCGAATGGGATTGCTAGGTCACAAGGTAACTTTTTGTTTTAACTCTGAAGAACTGCCAGATTGTTTTCCAAAAATTGTGTACCATTTTACATTCTCATCAACAATGTGTAAGGGTTTGATTTCTCCAAATCTTTGACAAAATTTAGTATTATCTATCTTATAGCCATTCTAGTGGGCATAAAATGGTATCTATTGTGGTTTTGACTGGCATTTCCCTGATGGCTAATGATACTGAGTATCTTTTCATGTGTTTATTGAACATTTGTAGGTCTATCCCTTTGTCCACTTTCAAAATTGAGTTATTTGTTTTTTTATTGTTGAGTTGTGAGAGTTTTTATATTCTGGCTACAATTCTCTTAAGATATATGATTTGCAAATATTTTCTTCCATTCTGTGGGTTGTCTTTTTACTTTCTTGATGGTATTCTTTGGAACGCAAAAGTTTTACTTTGATGAAGTCCAATTTATCTATTTTTTAATTTTGTCGCTTGTGCTTTTGATGAGATATCTGAGAAACTGTTGCCTAATCCAAGGTTTTGTTGATTTACTGCTATATTTTCTTCTAAGAGTTTTATAGTTTTTAGCTCTTAACATTCATTCATTATCCCTTCCCTTCATCTTTAGTTTATCATCTCCTAAGGGTAAATGCAGTTTACAGCAGATTTGTTTGGTGTAATCTTCTCTATATCATCTGTTGCTGTCTTTATCCTGGGATGAGCCATCTCCTTAATAAAGCTGTTCATATTTAGTTCTGTGAAACAGACATTCATAACTTCAACAACCTTTGCCTTCCATCCTGTCAAAAAACAAACACATATGTAATAAAATATGCTTTCCAACTTCCAGTCAGCTTTGTCTGCCCTACCACAGACAAAGACTGGAGTTCCTCCAGGCATTGACAGCTTTGGAGGTGGTTTGAAGGTTGGTGGTTTAAAGCAGGACCATCTCCTGTGACCTAAATCCTGAGGAAGAAAGAATACAACTGCAGAACTCTTCAGAGGGGCCCTTGCTGCTTGGCAAGCTGTCACCCCACCACAAACCTGACCACCCAGGGCCCTTTCTGCATCTGTGGCCCATTGTTCCTGGGGTTTTGATTATTCAGTTGAGCCATTGTCTGCCAAGATGTTTGGGTTTGGAAATTTTTCATTATGCCTTTGAGAAAATAATATCACACTTTCTCTCTGAATTCTGTATTCATTGATCTTTGTAAGTTGGGGGCAAAATTAGTTTTTGTTTCCTTGGGCATTGGATATGTATGGTAGTTGATCCCCTCCAAATGGTGTATTTGTTCTCGTATTTGTTGGCAAATCTTTAACTTTTTATTTATCTGAATCCCTTCCAAAACAAGAAACAATTCACTTTAAAAAAAAAAATCAGACTTCTTTTTTTTTTTTTTTTTTGAGACGGTGTCTCACTCTGTCGCCCAAACTGAAAAGCAGTGGCATGATCACAGCTCAGTGCAGCCTTGACCTCAGCCTCCTGAGTAGCTGGGACTACAGGTGCGTGCCACCATGCCTGGCTAATTTTTTTGTATTTTGTATTTGTTTTTAGAGACAGGGTTTTGCCATGTTGCTCGAACTCCTGGGCTCAAGGGATATGCCCGCCTTGGCCTCCCAAAGTGCTGGGATTACACGTGTGAGTCACTGTGCCCAGCCCAAACTATTTTTTATCTGGTTAAGTTTTCTAGGCACTCCTGGAAGAACAGGGCCAGAAAGAAAGACAGTTTAAATCTGACATGTCTTTGCATATGAAGCCATTGCTTTATTCTTTTTTGAATCAAACCTCCCCAAACAATGTAGTTAGCAAGAGCTACATTTATACATTTCTATAATGAGATAATCACTTCCCCTAAGGGAGAAGCAGCTAAAATCTGGCAATCCAAAGACTTCATTTTCTAGTCAGTCACTCCACACAATACATAGACAGCTCGATCACTTTTCCAAGGGAGATTTTTGAAGCTGATGTGCATCTATTTTCTGTTATCTAATAAATTGAAATCACATTCATTATTCAAAGAGTCGTGACTGTGTGGCCGGGCGCGGTGGCTCATGCCTGCAGTCGCAGCACTTTGGGAGGCCAAGGCAGGCAGACCACTTGAGGTCAGGAGTTTGAGACCAGCCTGGCCAACATGGTGAAACCTCATCTCTACTAAAAATACAAAAATTATCTGGGTGTGGTGGCTGGCGCCTGTAGTCCCAGATACTAGGGAGGCTGAGGCACGAGACTTGCTTGAACCTGGGGGCGGATGTTGCAGTGAGCCAAGATCGTGCCACTGCACTCCAGCCTGGGCAACAGAGAGTGAGACTCTGTCTCAAAAAAAAAAAAAAAAAAAAAAAAAAGCCACTGTGTGAGGGAACCTACAAAAGACCACAAAGCACTTGGCTGTCAAAACTCCACAGCCATTCAGAAGTGTGGATCCAGGGAAGCACTTGGTCCCTTCACTGTTGATTTGTTCACAGAAATGCCAGGCCCTCTGGTCAGAATAGCATTACCAGATCTAAAGCCCAAACAGTGGCATGGGTCTTGGCCTTGGCCCATCTCAGTGAGTGTTAGGATGCTTTAATGGAAATAACTAGGTTAATAACATGTATGTAAATTTTATTTACCATTGAGCCCTTAAAAGATACCAGTGAGGTGTTATTGATCCAGTTGAAATGAAGCAGCTATAAAATGATATGTATAGTATGAATAAATCTTTTAGTAAAGTGTTTGTGTACAAAAAGAAATACATTAAAATGTTTTATCCAGGTAATAAAAATGTGTTTTTCTCATTTTATACTTTTCCAAAAAAGTTTTTATAGTAAGTATATTTTTACTTTTATAATCATAAAGAAAGAAAGTAGGGTAATTCTATTTTGAAAAAAAAATTAGGTCGTTACTTTTAACTCAATTGCATGTTCAGAATTTTGAAAATATGCAGCCAAGAGCACATATTTGAATCGCTGCTCTGCAGAAAAACTTAATAATCAGCCTTAATGGCTATGAAGCAGGCGGGGCCCAGCCCTAAATTCCAGGTCACAGGGCAGTTTGCCAGGGCAGCCGGCTAACATAGGTGCTTCTGCCCCCCCATGGGCAGCTCTGGAAAGTGCAGGCTCTGGCCTGAGCGTTTCTCCAGGGATAGGACCCTGGAGAGATGAGTGTTTCAGAACCCAGAGACATTTGGAAAAACTGGCCTCACTGCTCAAAACTGTTCTGGAAGATCTTAAAATGGAGCAACTAATCATGTAGCAATCCTTTCATACTCCCTACACTCGTATTCAACATATATAGTTATTTTAATTTGCACACTTCGTTCTAGACACTGATGTATGTGTAGAATGTACAGATCAAATTATAAATTTCTTTTTGTGTCTCCCTGCCATTAAAAAAAACACAAAACTGTGGATACATAGTAGGTATTTCCCTGCCATTTTTATAGTACAAATTATATTGTATTGTACTAATTATATTGTATTGTACTAATTGTATTGTACTTTTATTCTTTTTAATTTTATTTTATTTGAGAGAGAGATTCACTCTGTCACCCAGGCTGGAGCACAGTGGCACGATGACAGCTCACTGCAGCTTCGACCTCCTGGGCTCAAGTGATTCTCCTGCCTGTGCCTCCCGAGTAGCTGGAACCATAGGCATGTGCCACCATGCCCAGCTAATTTTTGTATTTTTAAAATCTCCCTATGTTGCCCAGACTTTTGTTATTCTTTTATTTTTATTTTATTTTATTTTAGATGGAATCTTGCTCTGTCACCTAGGCTGGAATGCAGTAGCGTGATCTCAGCTCACTGCAACCTCTGCCCTCCCCACCCCGGGTTCGAGCAATTGTCCTGTCTCAGCTTCCTGGGTAGCTGGGATTACAGGCGTGCACACCATGCTCAGCTAAGTTTTGTATTTTTAGTAGAGACAGGGTTTTGCCATGTTGGTCAGGCTGGTCTTGAACCCCTGACCTCAGGTGATCTACCTGTCTTGGGCTCCCAAAGTGCTGGGATTATAGGCGTGAGCCACTGTGCCTGGTCACTTTTTTTATTCTTTGACTTGCTTCTTCCTCTATAGATATACCCTGGCAGGGTCAGGACCAGAGTGAGGCAAGCAGAACCCTCTGTGACCCTGAGAATGGCCTCCTAGCACTCTGTGCCCCTTCTCGGTACATGCAGGTCCACCTCATTCTTGTTACTCCTGCATAGTATTTTATGGTAGAAATGGAACACCACTAACCATTTCATTTTCAATTTCTAGTTGTTACTAAAATGCTGTGTTGACACCCTAATAGATGTCTTTTTTTTTTGAGATGGAGTCTCGCTCTGTCGTCCAGGCTGGAGTGTAGTGGCATGATCTCAGCTCACTGCAACCTCCACCTCCCGGGTTCAAGCAATTCTCCTGCCCCAGCCTCCTGAGTAGCTGGGATTACAGGCGCACGCCACACACCTGGCTAATTTTTTATATTTTTGGTAGAGACAGAGTTTCACCATGTTGACCAGGCTGATCTCAAATTCCTGAGCTCAAGTGATCCTCCCGCCTTGGCCTCCTAAAGTGCTGGGATTACAGGCGTGAGCCACTGCACCCAGCCAGATGTCTTTTTATGCATGTAGTAGTTATAATTTTTACTTTAGCATGTATACATTTTATTTTACTTTTTTTAAATGGAGAGTGGGTCTTGCTCCCTCACCAGGCTGGAGTGCAGTGGTGCAATCATGGCTCACTGCAGCCTTGACTTCCCCAGCTCAAGCAATCCTCCCACCTCAGCCTCCGAATAGGTGGGACTACAGGTTTACACCACGACACCTGGCTAATTTTTTAATTTTTTTTACTGAAGATTAGGTCTCAATAAATCGCCCAGGCTGGTCTTGAACTCCTGAGCTCAAGCGATCCTCTCGCCTCAGCCTCCCAAAGTGCTGGGATTACTGGCGTGAGCAGCTGCGCCCAGCTGTATTTAGCATTTTATACCTTGTTTGAGGCCTTCCGTACTTGGAGGTTATAATACTATCTCCCTGTACTTTTTTTCTTTCATTTTGGACCTCAGTCGAGTTAATCTGCTCCTCAGCTCCTCAGCTCACATTCCTCATGGTCAGCATTGGTCTGTGTGAGACATATCTTTGTCTGTTTATTCCCTTTTATCCCATTTCCCATTCCCATCCCCCCAATACACCATACACAACACAGTAATGCATTTGATAGGTTTTATAGCATTTGCATGTTTCCTTATAAAATATGTGGCCGGGCGTGGTGGCTCTCGGGCCAGGCACGGTGGCCGTTGTAATCCCAGCACTTTGGGAGGTAAAGGAGGCCAGATCATGAGGTCAAGAGATCGAGATGATCCTGGCCAACAGGGTGAAACCCCATCTCTACTAAAAATACAAAACTTAGCTGGGTGTGGTGGCGCGTGCCTGTAGTCCCAGCTACTCGGGAGGCTGAGGCGGGAGAATCACTTGAATCCAGGAGGTGAAGGTTGCAGTGAGCCAAGATCATGCCACTGCACTCCAGCCTGGGCGAGAGAGCGAGACTCCATCTCAAAAATATATACATATACATATACATATACATATACATATACATATACATATACATATACATGCATATATATGCATATACATATACATATACATGCATATATATGCATATAAATAAATAAATAAAATTTTTTTTATATATATGTATTTAGGTAAATGATATTGTGCCACAGGCCTTATTCTGACTGTCTTCTCTCAGCACTGTTTTACAGCCCTTCCACATAGCCATGGTACCCTCAGTTTCTTGATTCTAACTGCTACCCTCATCCCTTCCCCCAGCATCGAGCCCCTGGAGCTTTCAACTCCCCTTACCACAAACAACCCTGTAATGAACAACCTCATATATGGTCCTTTGTGAGAATTTCTGAGGACTATTTTCCCAGGATTGCTTACATTTTCTTCTAATACTCCTGCAGTTTGTTTTTTCTTCTATTCATATGCCTGCCCACGTTTGGTTTATCTGAGCACATCTAGCTTATACAATGATTTTGACTCTATTCTTTTTTTTTTTCCCTCTTTCTCTAGTCACACCTGCTGGAACAGGATCTATTAGTTCTTGAAATTTTCCATTGGCAAAATCACTCCTAATTTCCACTTAGACCATGTTTCTTCAACATTCTATTATATTTATTTTTAGTTTATTATTAATTATTTTTTTGAGACAGTGTCTTGCTCTGTCTTCCAGGCTGGAGTGCAGAGGCATGATGGTGGCTTACTGCAGTCTCACCCTCCTAGGCTCAAGCGATCCTCCCACCTCAGCCTCCCAAGTAGCTGGGACTACAGGCCTGCACCACCACACCTGGCTAATTTTTCTATTTTTTTATAGAGATGAGGTTTCGCCATGTTGCCCAGGCTGGTCTTGAACTCCTGGACTCAAGTGATCCATCCGCCTTGGCCTCACAAAGTGCTGGGATTACAGGCGTGAGCCCCCACATCAAGACTACATTCTATTTAAGTTAGTTTTTGTTTCAGTTTTTGGAATCTCAGCTTCAGATTTGTGTTAGTAATAAAACAACTTAGGTTTGGTGCCTCCTAAAGCAGACCCTGAGACAAGAACTTGGGTGACAATAGTTTACTTGGGAAGATATCCAAGGAAGACGGGGAGGGAGAGAGGAGAGTGATACAGGAAGGACGGAAAGCCAATGAAAGATACATTACTGAGCTGGGTTGTCACTGTGGACAATTGGCTCAATCTCCCTGCACACTTTTGAAGAACCATATAGAAACCACCCAAAATTGTCCTGCTGAAGTGTGAGAGGTTGGGACATTTATCCAGCAACCTTCATCTTCCATTGGCACTCTCCCACTCCCCTACTACCCAGCTCCCGCCCCTTTCTTCTGTGGCTGTATCTGCAAGTTGGACTGAGCAAGCTTCCAAGCTGAGGAGAAAATTCTGAAGCAGAAAAGCTGAGAGACTCCACTGGTGCTTGAGACGTGAAGCCATCAGCATGCATAGGAGCTGTTAGCCACAGCTGCATCACAAGCCACAGGCCTCAGTTCCAGTTGATCTACAGCAATCCTGTGGGCATGCACACCTTTGCTGTTGTCTGACCTACTTCTTGCCCTGCACCTTCCTATTCATGTATTGACTACACCTGACCTCTCTATCCTGACACAGTGAGACCCACTCAAACCGCTTCTTGGGCCTGATCTAGGTGAGCAGCCCCTCTGCCTCTCTGGCCCAGCCTCTCCACTTACCCGCTCTGGCAGGCCTTCAGCAGCCTGCCCTTGGAAATTTTGCACTTTTCCTTTTGCCAGTAGATATGTGGCTCTCATTTCTTTCCTTCTTTTCCTCTTCTCTCCCATTTACACTTTGATCTTGTCAGACTCTCCAATGGCATTATCAAGCCCTACTCAGATCATTGGCTTACCCTGACACAGAGAAAGTGCTCACACTCAGCATCAAATAACACAAATAAGAAGGATGCCCAATACTATTTGAGCACTTACTAAACGGAAAGCGCTGTGTGAAATGTGATTCAGTCATTATTTTATTTTCACAACAGCCTGATGAGGTCAGTACTCTCATTATGTCGATTTCTCAGAAGAGGAACTGCGGCTGGGAGAACGTGACTCATCTAGCTGATGGAGCTGAGGTTCAAGTGCAGGTATCTGGCCTTGAGGACTTACTTTTGACCACTCTATCACCAGTTAGCTTAGCCATTAACTACCAACTGATCCTCGGAGACAGGACCTCATTTCTTCTCCTTCTTCTTTTTTTTTTTTTTTTTTTTTTGAGACGAAGTTTAGCTCTTATTGCCCAGGCTGGAGTGCAATGGTGTGATCTTGGCTCACTGTAACCTCTGCCTCCCAGGTTCAAGCGATTCTCCTGCCTCAGCCTCTCAAGTAGCTGGGATTACAGGCACGCACCACCCGCCCAGCTAATTTTGTATATTTAGTAGAGATGGGGTATCACCATGTTGGTCAGGCTGGTCTCGAACTCCTGACCTCAGATGATATACCCACCTCAGCCTCCCAAAGTGCTGGGATTACAGGCATGAGCCACTGTGCCCAGCGGGACTTCGTTTCTTGTATGTGGGTTTTGACCTTTCAAGTAGAGTATAGCACCTTGGCTGGTTTGTTGTTGTTGTCTATATGGATTTTTTCTTTTTCATTTTCTTGGTTCATGGTATTACAACCATGTGATGCTTTTTTTAGGGCTAACTTAATGGATTTCTCTCCACCAATCTCTTGATACTAAAATTCTTTTTTTTTCTTTTTTTTTTTTTAAGACGGAGTCTTGCTCTGTCGCCCAGGCTGGAGTGCAGTGGCCAATCTCGGCTCACCGCAAGCTCCGCCTCCTGGGATCACGCCATTCTCCTGCCTCAGCCTCCCAAGTAGCTGGGACTACAGGCACCCGCCACCACACTAAGCTAATTTTTTTGTATTTTTAGTAGAGACGGAGTTTCACTGTGTTAGCCAGGATGGTCTCAATCTCCTGACCTTGTGATCCGCCCGCTTCGGCCTCCCAAAGTGCCGAGATTATAGGCGTGAGCCACCGCGCCCGGCATGATACTAAAATTCTACAATTAGAAATTAATTCCTTTGTCCCCACCTCACAGTTATATGGGAGAGACTACATGTTAATCCTTCTCAGCCATTTATACCTTAACATGAGTGAACTTCTAATCCTTTCCTGAGAGGTGGTTTTGGAAGAGGAGACAGGGGAAAAGCGTGAATGCACTAAGCCCTGATTAAAGGGAAGCCCCCTGATGCCATCACCTTACAAAAGCTCTTGCACAAGGGTATCAGGATTTAGGTGCAAGAATGTTCTTGGCAGCATTGTTCATAATAGGCTCAAAACAGAAACAATCCTATCTATTTTTTTTTTTTTTTTTTTTTTGAGACGGAGTCTCGCTCTGTCACCAGGCTGGAGTGCAGTGGCGCAATCTCAGCTCACTGCAACCTCCGCCTCCCGGGTTCAAGTGATTCTCCTGCCTCAGCCCCCGCAGTAGCTGGGACTACAGGCGCCTGCCACCAATCCCAGCACTTTGGGAGGCTGAGGTGGGTGGACCACGAGGTCATGAGTTCAAGACCAGCCTGGCCCAGAGGGTGAAACCCTGTCTCTACTAAAAATACAAAAAAAAAAAATGAGCTGGGCATGGTGGCAGGTGCCTGTAATCCCAGCTACTTGGGAGGCTGAGGCAGAGAATTGCTTGAACTCGGGAGGCGGAGGTTGCAGTGAGCCAAGATCGTGCCACTGCACTCCAGCCTGGGTGACAGAGAGAGACTACGTCTCAAAAAAAGTAGAAAAAGAATGAAAGAGATGCATCGTAGTGGATTCATACAATACAGCAATGAAAATGAGTGAGCTACGGTGACAACCAGTGAGTTAGTTGTTTGAATCCCACAAACATAACATTGAGGGAAAGAAGCATGATACAGAAGAATGTGCACAGTGGGAATCCACACATATAAAATTCAAATACAGGTGGTAGATTATAAAGAACAAGAAGGAATTAACATCATGAAAGTTAGTATAATAGTAATTCTGATAGGAGGGAGATGGTTGTGATCACTCAGGGGATGCACAGGGAACTTCTTGGGTGCTGATTATTACTATTTATTTTATTTTATTTTATTTTATTTTTGAGACAGAGTCTTGCTCTGTTACCCAGGCTTGCGTGCAATGGCACAATCACAAGTCATTGTAGCCTCAACCTTCTGGGCTCAAGTGATCCTCTCACCTTAGCCCCCCAAGTAGCTAGGACTATAGGCACGTGCCACCATGCCCAGCTAATTTTAAAATTTTTCATAGAGACGGGACATCACTTTGTTGCCCAGTCTTGAACTTCTGGGCTCAAGCAGTCCTCTGGCCTCAGCTTCCCATTGTGCTGGGATTACAGGTATAAGCCACCATGTTTGGCCATTATTATTTCTTGACTTGAGTGTTGGTTACACAGGGGGCTGCTTTGTAATTATTTTTTAAACTGTCCAAAGATATTCTATTCGTTTTTCTTTTTTCTCTTTTTTTTTGAGACAGAGTCTCGCTCTGTCACCCAGGCTTGAGTGCAGTAGCTCCATCTCAGCTCACGCAACCTCTGTCTCCAGGGTTCAAGCAATTCTCCTGCCTCAGCCTCCCGAGTAGCTGGGACTACAGGTGTGCACCACCATGCCTGGCTAACTTTTTTGTATTTTTAGTAGAGACAGGGTTTCACCATGTTGGCCAGGCTGGTCTCAAACTCCTGACCTCAGGTGATCCACCCAGCTAGGCCTCCCAAAGTGCTCAAAGTTTTCTATGCATTTTTCTATATGTATTTTTCTATATGTATGTTGTATTTTACTATTTTGAAAAGCAAAAATAAAGGAAGAAAGAAGAGGAGGGAAGGCAAAAGGTAAAAAGAAAGAAAGTAAGGAAGAAAAGGGAGAAAGAAGGAGGGAGAGAAGAAAGGAAGGAAGGAAAGGAATGCCAGCTCCTCAATCCAGACCTCATTTGTTTGTATAGCTAATCCAGATAAGGTTCTGGGAGACCTGGAAGAGAAGTGGTCAGGTTTTTGGGACAAATGGCACATAGCATCTGTGAATAATCAACTGTGCTAGATACTGCCAAATAGTTTTCCAAGTGACTGAATCCAATGTATTCCCTCCCCAGCCATGTATGAGTTCCCATTGTTACACATCCTCTTCATCATTTGATATCATCAGGCATAAAGACATCTTATTGTTGTTTTAAGTTGCATTTTCCTGCTAATTAATGAAGTTGAGCGTCTTTTAAATATATTTTTCCTCTTTTGTGAAGTGTCTATTTTTTTCTAGTGGGTTGCTTTTTTTTTTCATATTGATTCATTGGAGTATGCATTTTGGATATTAGGGCTTTGCTGGTTGAAAGTGTCTTTTTGATGGCTTGTTGCCTGTGTTTTTATAAGTAGGAGGGGTGGAGGCAGCAGGGGCCCACCACCTCTGAATTCCTTTGCCCACTGTTTGGGTGCCTCGGGGAATTTGCTCAGCCTTCATGGGCAGCGGTTGCCCTTTCTGACGCAACTAGGAATTCCTGGCACCACGACCAGGGGCCCTGCTCTCCCCTCAAGAGGCAAGCTGCCCAGGAAGCCAGGGAGGCCCCTGTGAGAATGACAGTGTGTGTGCTGTGCACACAGAGCCTGTTTTGTGTTTTCTTCCCCTCTACTCTCTTCCATTAGCAAAGAAAATGGAGTTTGGGCGCTGTGTCAACCACGTAAACTTTTACTTATACATCAGTGCAGAAAAGAACAAAATAGGAAAGGACTGCATGGTCGGCCAATTTCTGACGCCCTTTTTACTAGCCTGGATTTTAAGTCTAGAACACAATAGTAGAGGCTACCTAAGAACATTAAGGCAGCTGTGCCAGGGCAGAGAGAGGAGTTCCCATCTTGCCAGGGGCAGTCACATCACCTGCATCAGCATGTGAAGCAAACATAAAGAATGTCACTAATGGGCTTGGAGGTCATTAGCAACCCTGCCTAAAATACCTATCTGAATAAGGGACTGGCTCCCAGCAGGAAGTGAGGGGTAACTGAGTTGTTTCTAATAGTCCGTTCCTATTATCCTATGCTAATTCTCCCTGAGAGGAGGCTTGGCTGGTAAGGAGGGAGTGGTGGATCCTGAATTTATGATCATTTAAACAATTAATTTTTGCATATGACAGGGACAATAATTTTTGAGGTATAATTAGTCAGTTTCTCCCTGTTCCCTCCCAATCCCATTCTTTCCCCAACCCCAACCTCTTGAGGAAACTCTTGGTTTGTGAGTCATTGAGACTCCAACATTTGTGGACCAGTGCGGACTTGGGGTTGGGACTTGGGGGCACGCACCCACAGGGGCGCTGGAGCCTTTGGGGAACTGAAGAAAGATTTAAACAATTTCCTTAAGGGTGGAATTTTGAAGCTAGAGAACTTGCTGTTGGTTCAGTAAGGTAGCTCCTTCCTCAATTTCGTCAATCAACCTTCTGAAAGAGATTTATTTTTATTTTATTTGAGACAGGGTCTCGCTCTGTTACCCAGGCTGAAGTGCAGTGGTGCCATCAAGGCTCACTGCAGCCTCAACCTCCTGGGCTCAAGTGATTCTTCCGCCTCCAAGTAGCTGAGACAACAGGCACATGCCATCACACCTGGCTAATTTATATATATATATAGTTATATATATAGTTATATATATATAGTTATATATATATTTATATATATATAGTTATATATATAGTTATATATATATAGTTATATATATAGTTATATATATATAGTTATATATATAGTTATATATATATAGTTATATATATATAGTTATATATATAGTTATATATATATAGTTATATATATAGTTATATATATATAGTTATATATATAGTTATATATATATAAATATATGGTTATATATATAAATATATAAATGGATGGTTATATATATACGGTTTTTTTTGCTTGTTTGTTTTTGGTAGAGACAGGGTTTCGCCATGTTGCCCAGGCTGGTCTTGAACTCCTGGGCTCAACAGATCTGCCTGCCTCGGCCTCCCAAAGTGCTGGGATTACAGAGGGAGCCACCACGCCCAGCCTGAGAGAGATTTAGTACAGGCTTTGTTACTTTCAAAGTTGTTTGGAGTCAAATTGGCTTTTCTTTTGACCAAGATGCAGCACTGATGTAGGCCTTGGGAAGGAGATGGGGGCTCAGATGTATTAGGGTGACACTGGTGTGCTTCTCTTTATCTGCTCAGCATCATCTTAAACACAAACAACACTTATTCATCTGGTATAGCTGAACAGGATGTAAAGTTATTGAAAACCTGGGACCCTTGGGACCACCCCTGAGCTTCCCCACAGGCACAGCCAGAGGCCTGCTCCAACTCTAAGACCGGTGACTGCTTGGGTGTGAGTATCTCCTTGTTATACGTGAAGTTGGTTTTTGAATCTAAGGGTAGATTTATTTTTTTTGAGACAGAGTCTCACTCTGTTGCCAGGCTGGAGTGCAGTGGTGCGATCTCGGCTCACTGCAACCTCTGCCTCCCGGGTTTAAGCAATTCTCCTGCCTCAGCCTCCTAAGTAGCTGGGACTACAGGCATGCGCCACCACGCCCAGCTAATTTTTGTATTTTTAGTAGAGACGGGGTTTCACCATGTTGGCCAGGACGATCTCAATCTCTTGACCTTGTGATGTGCCCACCTCGGCCTCCCAAAGTGCTGGGATTACAGGTGTGAGCCACCACACCCAGCTGGGCAGATCTTTAAATTTAACTTTATCCAGCCAGGTGCGGTGGCTCACACCTGTAATCCCAGCACTTTGGGAGGCCCAGGCGGGTGGATCAGTCACCTGAGGTCAGGGGTTTAAGACCAGCCTGGCCAACATGGCAAAAGCCCGTCTCCACTAAAAATACAAAAATTAGCTAGGCGTGGTGATGGGCACCTGTAATCCCAGGAGGCGGAGGTTGCAGTGAGCCGAGATCACGCCACTGTACTCCAGCCTGGGTGACATCACTGACATTCCAGCCCCTGTCTCAAAAAATAAAATAAAATATAAATAAGTAAATTTAACTTAATCAAGTTCAGTCCATTGTTCCATTTTATGAGATCTGTTTTAGTTTGGGTTTTCTTGGAAGCCAGCCATGAGATAAGGAGTTGATCCCAGCACTTTGGGAGGCTGAGGCTGGAGGACTGATTGAACCCAGGGGTTTGAGGCTCAGCCAGGGCAACATAGGGAGACCCTGTCTCTACAGTTTTTTTTTTTTTAAATCAGCCAGGTGTAGTGGCTCATGCCCGTAGTCCGAGCTATTTGGGATGCGGAGGCAGGAGGATTGCTTGAGCCCGGGAGGTCGAGGCTGCAGCGAGCCATGATCCAGCCAGTGCACTCCAGCCTGGGTGACAGAGAGAGACCCTGTCTCAAAAAAAAAAAAAAAAAAAAAAAAAAAAAAAAAAAAAAAAGGAGGGGGGGGATTTGAATGCAAGTAGTTTATTTGGGAAGCATCCCAGGAAGCATCCCTGAGATGGGAACTGGAGGAATGGTGGGCCAAGTTGCTGCCCCACACCAACAAAGGAAGTCAGCAGGGCAGTCACGAGGTATGTGAGGCTTTCAGAGCATTATGGCCACTGCTTCACTTCTGCTGTCCAAATTGCATGGAATCTTTCACTTGTAGCCAAGCCTAACTCATACACTATGTGGGAGGGAATTCTGGGAAATGTAGTTCCAGTTGAGCTATATCTACATAACTTCACTGATGAATGCACAGAGAAAACCAGTCTCAGTACCCAGGGCCAGACCTGCAGAACGGGTATTTTGTTTTCCATATCAATTGAGTTTCTGCCTCTGTGCCCCAGTCGCACAGGCAGGCAAATATTTAACTTTGGTCATTCCTGATGTTTGGCACTTTGCAATCAGGCAAAGATTCCACAATCTTACCCAATTCCAAGTTGGATGTGGCCTTCTGACACTGAGTCCTGCCTGGCTGTTGAAGATCCCTGCAGAGACATTGTCCCTTTCCCAGTAGCCCCTTCAGATCTGCTGACACCTTCGTTTCTACGCCCACTTGGGACATGAGACTTGTTTGCAAGATTGAGGGCCCCAATTCCTTTCCTCTCTTTGGCTTTGCCACCTCCTTGGGGCCCTTTGGCTTTGCCACCTCCTTGGGGCCCTGCCAGGAAGCCAGGACTGAAGGAAATATGTTCCCTTCAACTTTCTTTTTTTTTTTTTGAGATGCAGTCTCACTCTGTTGCCCAGGCTGGAGTGCAGTGGCGCCATCTCGGCTCATTGCAACCTCCGCCTCCTGGGGTCAAGCAATTCTCCTGCCTCAGCCTCCTGAGTAGCTGGGATTACAGGTGCCCTAGCCTCAAGTGATCCATCCTCCTTGGCCTCCCAAATATTGGGACTATGGGCGTGAGCTACAGCACCTGACCCCCTTCAATTTTCTTAAAGACACTTCTGTAAAACTCTTGAAACTTTTCCTTCTCTTCTCTTTGCATTTCTATCGCAAACCTCCTACATTCTCCTAAGGACCTGGTAAAATAGAACAGAAAAGATTATCTCCCTTTTCTTGTTAATCCATCTTTTGTTATAGGGGGGTCAGCCATGAACCTAGCAATGAGTGAGGAAAGATGTTATCTTTCTCCCCTACAGAAGCATAAATGAAAAAGACAATTTTTTTTTTTAAAGATAAGTTCAATCGGGCCGGGCGCAGTGGCTCACGCCTGTAATCCCAGCACTTTGGGAGGCCGAGGCGGGCGGATCACGAGGTCAGGAGATCGAGACCATCCCGGCTAAAACGGTGAAACCCCGTCTCTACTAAAAATACAAAAAAATTAGCCGGGCGTAGTGGCGGGCGCCTGTCGTCCCAGCTACTTGGGAGGCTGAGGCAGGAGAATGGCGTGAACCCGGGAGGCGGAGCTTGCAGTGAGCCGAGATCCCGCCACTGCACTCCAGCCTGGGCGACAGAGCGAGACTCCGTCTCAAAAAAAAAAAAAAGATAAGTTCAATCGATCTCACAAGCATGGCCACCTGTATACCAGGCCCACACAGGCTGACCCCTGGGAAGCACCAAAGCAGCTGGATTTACGGAAAGTCTTGTCAGACCTCTGGGTCTAAACAAGCTGCAGAATTAAAGGTAGCCCAGGGAGGCTGACTTTAATAAAGTCAATCCAGGAAGAAAAAGCAGCAGGCTTTCAGGTGTTCCAATGATGCAACATGCCTTGAGCTGGATTTTGTGCTGTTCTTTACAGTAAGAGGTGAGGTACTGTGTGTACATATATGCTTGGTATGTGGGGACTGTGTCTGCCCCAGGCAACTAAGACAAGGATTTCAGCAACTGTAGCAGCGCAGGCACCATAGAACATAGAGAGCCTTGGCCAGCCCCGGTGGCTCATGCCTGTAATCCCAGCGCTATGGGAGGCCAAGGTGGGTGGATCACCTGAGGTCAGGAGTCCTAGACCAGCCTGGCCAACATGATGAAACCCTGTTTCTACTAAAAATACAAAAAATTAGCCAGGCATCGCGATGGGCACCTGTAATCCCAGCTACTCGGGAGGCTGAAGTGGAGAATCACTGGAACCCAGGAGGTGGAGGTTGCAGTGAGCTGAGATCGCACCACTGCACTCTGGCCTGGGCAACAAGAGCAAAACTATGTCTCTCTCTCACACACACACACACACACACACACACAAACACACACACACACACACACACACACACACACACAAAAGAACATAGCCATGTTGGTTGACTACATGATCAGTAGAAACCCACTGTCCCCTAAAGAGCTACTTAACAAGAGTTTCTTCTTGCTGAGCCTTAAAGTATAAAACTCTTTAATAATTTACTCACAGCAATGTAACTTCAGACACAAAACACATCTTTATTCATGTGTTCATTACCCACTTTGGTGATGCACCTGTCATTTAGCTGTTTCTCAAGATGATGTTCAGCAGTTGGATGCTTATTAGTCCTTTTTCCACTAGTTCCTGAAAATAGTGGCTTAATTGAACGTTCTCCCTGCAAGTAGTTTCCTACTATTGTCAAGGATTTGGTTGCGCATTGTGTTTTAGACTAGTTGCACTTGACACCCCTTTCAGTTCATTTTCATTTCTGATTTTGTTATGCACAGCCCTCTCCTACCCCGATCAAGGTACATCTTCCGCCTCCCACACAACCCAACACATCTACTCAGTAGCACTGTGCTATCTGTCAGAGGATATTATTGTAATACCAGCCTAATGGATTTTGTGTTCAGGTTGGTGAAATGATGAAATCAACTGAAAGAGGTATGTTCACAGCAATATTTATTAAGGAGATCAGAAGGAATGGAGAATGGGCCAGGCACGGTGGCCCATGCCTGTAATCCCAGCACTTTGGGAGGCTGAGGTGGGTGGATCACCTGAGGTCAGGAGTTCGAGACCAGCCTGGCCAATATGGTGAAAACCTGTCTCTACTAAAAATACAAATCTCCACATCTTTTGTAAAACTAACTTTTGTCATGATAAACACTGAAGCAGGATGAGAAACAATTGCCCATACTGTAAAATAATTATTTGGAGAAAATTGGCCTTTTCCCAAACTGATGGTTGTTCTTTGAAATGTAAATTGCTAAATTTTATTTGTTTATGTTTAACTTTTTACTTATTTATTCACTCATTTATTGAGATGGGGTCTTGCTCTGTTGCCCAGGCTGGAATGCAATGGCACGATCATAGCTCACTGCAACCTCCAACCCCTGGGCTCAAGGGATCCTCCCACCTCAGCCTCCTGAGTAGCTGAAACTACAGGCACATATCACCAGCTAACCTTTTTTTTTTCCACAAAAACAAGCAGCCTTTATTGCAGTATTACAAAACACTTTTCATATTGGCAATATTTTACAACACATTTAGCTCTAAGGGTTGAGGAGGAGAAGGTTGGAAACTAAAAGGGGAAATCTCAACATTTCTAAAAGAAAAACTGTCCCAGCCCTCCCACTCAAATAATCCAAATGTCACGGCCGGGCGCGTGGCTCACACCTGTAATCCCAACACTTTGGGAGGCCGAGGCGGGTGGACCACCTGAGGTTGGGAGTTCAAGACCAGCCTGACCACCATGGAGAAACCCTGTCTCTACTAAAAATACAAAATTAGCCGGGGTGGTGGTGCATGCCTGTAATCCCAGCTACTTGGGAGGCTGAGGTAGGAGAATCACTTGAACCTGGGAGGTGGAGGTTGGAGTGAGCCGAGATCGCACCATTGCACTCCAGCCTGGGCAACAAGAGCAAAACTCCGTCTCAAAAAAAAAAAAAAAAATCACTTAATTTCACTACCCAAGAAGAGGCCACGAGGAAAGCAGCAGGCAAAACTCTGGCAATTTCACTATGGATCATGTCAGAGACAAAGGAATATTCAAAACAGTCATCAGTATGGTCGATTGTACTGATCATTTCTGTAGTCACTTCTTCCTCCAATTTTGCTTCCATAGCCACCTCAGTCTCCTCCATAGGTGCCTGGCTAACCTTTTTAAAAAAATTTTTGTTGGCCGGGCATGATGGCTCACGCCTGTAATCCCAGCACTTTGGGAGGCCGAGGTGGGCGGATCACCTGAGGTCAGGAGTTCAAGATGAGCCTGGCCAACATGGCAAAACCCCATCTCTACTAAAAATATAAAAATTAGCCGGGCGTGGTGGCGGGTGCTTGCAATCCCAGCTACTCAGGAGGCTGAGGCAGGGAGAATTGCTTGAACCCGGGAGGTGGAGGTTGCAGTGAGCCGAGATTGTGCCACTGCACTCCAACCTAGGTGACAGAGCAAGACTCCGACTCAAAAAAAAAATTTTTTTTTTGTAGAGCTGAGGGCAGTGGCTCATGCCTGTAATCCAGCACCAGCACTTAGGGAGGCCAAGGCAGGAGGATCACTTGAGCCCAGGAGTTCAAGACCAGCCTAGGCAACATAGTGAGACCCTGTCTCAAACAAAATTAAAAAATAGTAATAAAAATTTCTTGTAGAGACAGGGTCTCACTTTGTTGCCCAGGCTGGTCTCAAACTCCTAGGCTCAAGCAGTTCCCCTGCCTTAGCCTCCCAAAGTGTTGGGATTACAGGCATCAGCCCACACACCTGGCCCAGATTCTTTATTATACAACATTCCTTTTCTTTAGAAGGCTAAAGCACTGGACAGAGAGAGAGTTCAGGGAATGATGACAGTAACTGCTACACTGTCATTCAGTATTTCAGCATGCAGTAAAGCTTTATGATCGCTTTACTATAAAATATGAAAATCTGAAACAGTTCTTCAAAACATTTTTATTCTTGGACATAAAAATAGTGTTTGACTCTGCTACAATATCTTGTTGTTTTATTACAGCTTAACTATTTGCTTATATGTGCTATTCATATCTTCCCTTTGCTTTTTTCCCCATCTCCCAAAGTAGGTAAACCTATTGTTTTCACATAGAATGCATATAATTTTGGAAAACTATAATGCTCTAGTAAGTTATTCTATAAATTATTACTATAAATCACTAGTGTGAATTAGTATAAATCAAACAAGTAATAATAGTATTACTTTAAATCACTAGTATGATTCATGGTAATTTTATTCTTTATGTTTTCACGATTTCCTTTTTCCAACAGGTACTTATGGGCAAAATAATTACCAATGAACTGACATCAGCATGCTTTCCCCTGCTGTAAAAAATCTAAATGGAAATTCTGTATGTTTTTGTTTTTGTTTTTGTTTTTGTGGGGGACAGGGCCTTGCTTTGTGACCCAGGTTGGAGTGGTACGATCATAGCTCAGCATAACTTCAACCTCCTGGGATCAAGCAATCTTCCCATCTTTGTCTCCTGAGTAGCTGGGAATACAGGGGTGTGTCACCACACTTTGCTAATATTTTTAAAGATTTTTTGTAGAGACAGGGTCTCACTATGTTGCCCAGGCTGGTCTTGAACTCCTGGCCTCAAGTGATCCTCCCACTTTGGCCTACCAAACTGCTGGGATTACAGGCATGAGCCACTGTGCCCAAATTCTATATGTTTTTATGTCAAGGAGTTTGAACCACTCATGTGCAGATATATATATATATATATATATATGGCATAAAGTAGTGTTTATGATCTGTATCTACATCATCATATGGATGTATACATATCAATAAAGTTATTATTTAACAAAATGCACCCAGTCACATGTGGTAACTTCTTAGGACTGAATTCTGGCCACAGCAGGAGAGCATGGTAGCAAATATCAATGGGAGACAGAAATTAAAGAGCTTTTGCCAAGAGTCATCACAATTGACACTGGTTGATAAGAATGCATGCTGAGGTATGGATTGGCAGCTCATCTAAACCACAAGCTCTTGCCCACTATTTCTTCAGTAGCCAACAAGAAAAAGGGAATAGCTGGGGCCAGATATCAGGAAGTGCCCCCTGGACTATAAGAAGGGAGTCTCATAGGATTGGCGGAGCAGCTAGAGGAGAAACAGCAGCTATTATATTAAAAAGAAGTGTTTGAACCTATATGATGCTAGGCCTTATCTACTCCTGGGTTCTCAAGAATTGAACGTGGAAAAAGGAAAATGCAAACAACAGCAGTTAAGTTTGTTCCTACAGCACATGCTTTTACTCTGAAAGTCTCTCCTCTCAGCAGTAATTTAGCCCAACTCCTGTATCAAGATTCTTATGAGGCTGGGTGCTGTGGCTCACACCTGTAATCCCAGCACTTTGGGAGGCCAAGGCAGGCTCATCACTTGAGGTCAGGAGTTCAAGACCAGCCTGGCCAACATGGTGAAACCCCATCTCTACTAAAAAAAAATAATAATAAAAAAAAGGCTGGGCATGGTGGCATGCACCTGTAATCCTAGCTTCTCAGGAGGCTGAGGCAGGAGAAACACTTAAGCCCCGGCAGCAACGGTTGCAGTGAGCCAAGATTGCACCACTGCTCTCCAGCCTGGGTGACAGAGCAAGATTCCATCTCAGAAAAAAAAAAAAAAAAAAAAAAAGAATCTTGTGAAATGACAAGATCACAAGTAAGGGTGTTATTATTGCAATAATGTACACTTCATTTTTCCACTACTGAAGGAGAAAACTCTCTGGGGAGTGAAAATCAACACTCAGTTTAACAATAGTGCTGCATATAAATTCACATCAAAATGTAAAACCAACTTAGTTAAAAAAAATCCAGATAAAATGAAATGGGCCATGATAATGGTATAGTCTTTCAATTATGGGTCTCATGTTATAAGGATGACATATTATTTCCTAAATGTTGATTAAGGTTCTCAATACCACTGGTGGTAAATAAAGGGGTAGCCATTTCACAGATGAGAAAATTAAGACAAGAGAGACTCTATGACTGACCCAGAGATGAATGAGAAGTCACAGAGAAGATGCAGAACTGAATTCCTGATCTCAGCTCCTTTCTCAACTGCTTATCTAATACTTTCCCTTTCTTTCTTTTTCTTTTCTTTTTTCCCCTCCCTCCCTCCCTCCCTCCTTTCCTCCTTCCTTCCTTCCTTCCTTCCTTCTTTTTCTTTCTTTTCTTTCTTTCTTCCCCCGCCTCCTTTTTTTTCTTTTGAGACAGGGTCTCACTGTGTCGTCCAGGCTGGAGTGCAGTGGGGTGATCACAGCTAACTGCAGCCTTGACCTCCTGGGCTCAAGCGAGTCTCCTACATCAGCCTCCCAAGTAGCTGGGACTACAGGTACACACCACCACGCCTGGCTAATTTTGTTCATTTTTTGTATAGACAAGGTCTCACTATGTTGCCCAGGCTGGTCTCAAACTCCTGAGCTCAAATGAAACTCCCACCTCGGCCTCCCAAAGTGCTAGGATTACAGGTGTGAGCCACTGCACCCAGCGTATCTAATGCTTTTCAAACGGTGACCACAGAGCTTGAAAGTCTTACTGAGATAAACTCCGTCTCTACTAAAAATATAAACATTAGCTGGGCGTGGTGGCATATGCCTGTAATCCCAGCTACTCAGGAGGCTGAGGCAGGAGAATCACTTGAGCCTAGGAGACGGAGGTTGCAGTGAGCCAAGATCACGCCACTGCACTCCAGCCTGGGTGACAGAGCGAGACTCCATCTCAAAAAAAAAAAAAAAAAAAGTTTATGAGCCAATATTGACACATTATTGTTAACTGAAGTCCAAAAGTTACATAATTACATTAAGATTTACTTTAGTTATTTACTTATTTTTAGAGAGACAGAGTCTCCCTCTGTTGCCCAGGCTGGAGTGCAGTGGTACAATTATAGCTCACTCACTGCAGTCTCCACCTCCTGGACTCAAGTGATCTTCCTGTCTCAGCCTCCCCAGTAGCTGGGACTACAATCACGTGCCACCACATCTGGCCAATTTTTAACATTTTTTGTAGAGAGAGGAATCTTATGTTGCCCAGGCTGGTCTTGAACTCCTCACCTCAAGTGATCCTCCCACCTTGACCTCCCAAAGTGCTAGGATTATAGGCGTGAGACACCGCACTGGACTGGGACCATTAAAAAAAATTTTTTTTTGAGATGGAGTCTTACTCTGTCACCCAGGCTGGAGTGGCAGTGGCCTGATCTTGGGTCACTGCAACCTCTGCCTCCTGGGCTCAAGTGATTCTCCTAGCTCAGCCTCCCCAGTAGCTATGACTGCAGGTGTGCACCACCACGCCCAGCTAATTTTCGTATTTTTCTGTAGTAGAGAGGGGGTTTTACCATGTTGGCCAGGCTGGTCTGGAACTCCTTACCTCAAGTGATCCACCTGCCTCAGCCTCCCAAAGTGCTGGGATTACAGGTGTGAGCCACCGCACCCAGCCCCTGGGACCATTTTTTTTTTTTTTTTTGAGATGGAATCTTGCTCTGTCGCCAAGGCTGGAGTGCAGTGGCACGATCTCGGCGCACTGCAAGCTCCGCCTCTCCTGGGACCATTTTTTAATTCGGTTGATTGTCTTCATATATCCTTGTTTTTTTGTTTTCTTATTCAGACATTCAGCAGCCATATCTCATAATTATCTTCATACTATTGAGTTATGAGTTCTTTATGTGTTTTCAATATAAGCCTTTTATCAGATGTATGATTTGCAAATATTTTCTTCCAGTCTGTGGCTTATCTTTTCATTTTCATTTTTTTTTTTTGGTTTTGAGAGAGAGTCACAGTCTGTTGCCCGGGCTGGAGGGTAGTGGTATGATCAAGGCTCACTGCAGCCTCAACCTCCCAGGCTCAAGTGATCCTTCCACCATAGCCTGCTGAGTAAGTTGGGACTACAGGCCTGTACCACCACACCCAGCTATTAATAATTATTTCTTGAATTTCAGTAGAGACAAGGTCTCCCTATGTTGCCCAGGCTGGTACAGAAATCCTAAACTCAAGCAATCTGCCCGCCTTGACCTCCCAGTGTTGGGATTACAGGTGTGAGCCACCACCCATGGCCCTTTCATTTTCTTAAGGTACTTTATATTTTAAATTTTGATAAATTCTAATTTATCACATTTTCTTCTATGGTTTCTGCTTTTGGTGTCTTTTTTTGAGTTTTATATTTTTACCTCTTAGGTTTTGGTTTATAATCCATTTTGAATTAATTTTTGTATTTGGTGTGAGCAAAGATTCAAGTTTCTTTTTGTTGTTTTTGTTTTCCAGGGCTTTGCTTTTGTTTTTTGGTGTATGGATATCCAATTGCGCCGGCATCATTTATTGAGATTATCATTTTGCTACTGAGTTGTCTTGACCCCTTTGTAAAAAATCAATTAACTATAATGTAGGAAGGGTTTATTTCAAGACTCTTCTCTTCCATTGATCTATTTATCCTTGCATCAACAGCACAATGCCTTGATTACTACAGTTTTTTAAATACAATATTTATACGATTTAAGAATACATCCTATGCCAGGCGCGGTGGCTCATGCATAATCCCAGCACTTTGGGAGGCCAAGGTGGGCAGGTAACTTGAGACCAGGAGTTTGAGACCAGCCTGGCCAACATGGCGAAACCCTGTCTCCACTAAAAATAAGAAAATTAGCCAGGCATGGTAGCATGTGCCTGTAATTCCAGCTACTTGGGAGGCCGAGGCATGAGAATAGCTTGAGTGAGCTGAGACTGTGCCACTGCACTCCAGCCTGGGCAACAGAACAAGACTGTCTCAAAAAAAAAAAAAAAAAAAAAAAGAAAGAAAAGAAAGCAAGCTTGGAAGTGGATTCTTCCCCAGCTGAGTCTTCTTATGAGACCACAGCCCAGCCCAGACTGGCAGCTTGATTACAGAGACCTTGAGCCAGAATCACCCAGCTAAACTGTGCATGGCTTCCTGATCCTTCAAAACTCTGAGATAATACAATAAAAGTTCATAGTTTTTGTTTGTTTGTTTGTTTGTTTTTTGAGATGGAGTCTAGCTCTGTCACCCAGGCTGGAGTGCAGTGGCACAATCTTGGCTCACTGCAACCTCTGACTCCTGGGTTCAAGTGATTCTCCTTCCTCAGCCTCCTGAGTAGCTGGGATTACAGGCGCCCGGCACCACACCCAGCTAATTTTTGTATTTTTAGTAGAGACGGGGTTTCACTGTGTTGGCCAGGCTGGTCTCGAACTCCTGACCTCGTGATCCACCCACTTTGGCCCCCAGAAAGTGCTGGGATTACAAGCGTGAGCCACGGAAAAGTTCATTGTTTTAAACCACTAAGTTTTGGGGGTAATTTGTTTGTAGCAATAGATAACGATACAACAGCCAATCTTCAAAAGTTTTTCTTTCAAGGTTATTTTCACTTGGCATGCAAGAATTTCTAAACCTCTAAGAGTTTTCAAGCTCTCTTTTCTGAAATTGTACTTCAAAGGACAGATACATTAATGGGGAACAAAAACATGTTGATCACATTTATAAATATCCATACAACTTGGTAATCATATAAATGTTCTTAATTTAACACCTTATACGGTTAGAGTCTTTGAAATGATTTTATGATACAGAAATGTCGCTCTTCATCAGTAACTGCAGGGGAGAGAAGAAATCTCATTCATCTCTTTCTGGGACTCTTTTTGTTAATTTTGAAGACTTAGCATTTTTAAGGTCAGGCTCTGGATTTCATTAGTCAGCATTATATGTAAAATGTAGGCTAGTGGAGCTAAATTTTACTGGCAGAAGTGGAGGAAGAAATATAGCCGGGTGCAGTGGCTCATGCCTGTAATCCAAACACTTTAGGAGGCTGAGGCAGGTGGATCACTTGAGGTCAGGAGTTCAAGACCAGCCTGGCCAACATGGTAAAACCCCGTATCTACTAAAAATACAAAAATACAGGCATGGTGGTGGGTGCCTGTAGTCCCAGCTACTTGGGAGGCTGAGGCAGGAGAATCACTTGAACCTGGGAAGCAGAGGTTGCAGTGAGCCAAGATCCCGCCACTGCACTCCAGCCTGGGTGATAAAGCAAGACTCCATCTCAAAAAAAATTAAAGTAAATAAATAAATAAATAAGCTTTTATTTAATAGCAGTGAAATAGCTTATAGCATTCAAGCCCCTAAAGAGATCAGTCATACCAATAGGAGGTACAGGGGAGAAAATTTTGCTTTGCAATTTTGAGATACATTACCCACAGTGACTTTAACTAAAAGGAGTGGGAGAAAATTCAGGTCCAACAGAGGACAACTCTGACTGGCCATGTTAGTTCCAAGCTCCCCGGGGAGTTCAGCTTCTCCTGTTGCCCAGTCCTGCTTTCTTCCTCTTCCTCCGATAGGTATTGATTCAAAAGGTATTCCCTAATAGACATCCTGCATACCAAACTCCCCATCAGGGTTTGCTTTCCAGAGAACCCACCTTGTAATAGGCACAAATATGACCTTTTTCTAAATGCTCAATTTTTCTGAAAAAGCATTTATTTAAGCTTGAGTTTCACAGGATTCGGTTACAGCATTTTTTTTTTTTTTTTTTTTTTTTTTTTTTTTTTGAGACAGAGTCTTGCTCTGTCACCCAGGCTGGAGTATAGTGACGTGATCTGGGCTCACTGCAACCTCTGCCTCCCAGGTTCAAGCCATTCTTTTGCCTCAGCCTCCTGAGTAGCTGGGTTTATAGGCGCTCGCTACCATGCCCGGCTAATTTTTTGTATTTGTATTTGTATTTTTGTATTTTGTATTTTTAGTGGAGACAGGGTTTCACCATGTTGGCCAGGCTGGTCTCGAACTCCTGACCTCATGTGATCCGCCTGCCTCAGCCTCCCAAAGTGCTGGGATTACAGGCATGAGCCACCGAGCCCAGCCAGGTGTGGTTTTTATCTCTTACTTTGTTCTGTTATCTCTTTAGGATGTATGTTTGGGTTTGAATTTGTGTCATTATGAACAATTATCACCTCCATGGAAAAATGTTTTATTTAGCATCAAATAATCTTTGATGTTGCACTAAGTGTCATATACCATGCAGGTTGGTCAAACTTGAATGATTTCTCCTGAGTAATTTGCTATCATACGAGGTTATTTTCATTTAAAAATAATTTAATGAATGAAAAAACTAAAAAATAATTTAATGAATGAGTATACAAACATATTAGATTAAGTATTTATATTTATTTTATTTATTTATTTATTTCTGAGATGGAGTCTTGCTCTGTCGCCCAGGCTGGAGTGCAGTGGTGCAATCTCTGCTCACTGCAAGCTCTGCATCCCGGGTTCATGCCATTCTCCTGCCTCAGCCTCCTGAGTAGCTGGGACTATAGGCGCCCCCACCACGCTCAGCTAATTTTTTTGTATTTTTAGTAGAGACGGGGTTTCACCGTGTTACCCAGGATGGTCTTGATCTCCTGACCTTGTGATCCGCCCACGTCAGCCTCCCAAAGTGCTGGGATTACAGGCGTGAGTCACTGCGCTCGGCCAAGTATTTATATTTATTATGCATTTTTTTTTTTAAGAGACAGAATCTCATTCTGTTGCCCAGGCTGGAGTGCAGTGGTGCAAACACAGCTCACTGCAGCCTCGCCCTCCTGGGCTCAAGTGATCCTCACACCTCAGTCTGTCAAGCAGCTGAGACAACAGGCACACACATCACACCAGGCTAATTTTTAAAATTTTTTGTAGAGGTGGGTTTTGCCATGTTGCCTAGGCTGGTGTTGAACTCCTGGGCTCAATCGATCTTCCTACCTCTTGGCCTACCAAAGTTCTGGGATTACAGGTTTGAGCCACAGTGCCTGGCTTTTTTTTTTTTTTTTTTTCTTTTTTTGAGACAAAGTCTTACTCTGGCACCTAGGGTGGAATGTAGTGATGAGATCATAGCTAGCTGCAACTTGGAATTCCTGGGTTTAAGCGATCCTCCTGCCTCAGCCTCATGAGTAGCTGCTGGGACTGCAGGTGTGTGCCACCACACCTGGCTATTTTTTTTCTTTTTGTTTTTTTTTTTGGTTGTTGTTTGTTTTTTGTAGAGATAGGGGTCTCCTATGTTGCCCAGGCTGGTCTGAAACTTCTGGCCTCAAGTGATCCTCCTGTCTCGCCTCCCTAAGTGCTGGAATTATGAGTGTGAGCCACTGCACCTGGCCTATATTTATCATGCTTGAATGAAACAATATATACTATGTATTTTTTTTTGATAAGATGGAGATGAGAAGAATTGACACTTCCTTCTAGTGAAGTCTAGAAAATGATTCTCAGGGCTGGGCGTGGTGGCTCATGCCTTTAATCCCAGCACTTTGGGAGGCCAAGGCAGGTGGATCACCTGAGGTCAGGAGTTTGAGACCAGCCTGGCCGACATGATGAAACCCCATTTCTACTAAAAATACAAAAATTAGCTGGGTGTGGTGGCATGCACCTGTAGTTCCAGCTACTCAGTAGGCTCAATTGCTTGAACCCGGGAGGCAGAGGTTGCAGTAGGCCGAGATCGTGCCACTGCACTCCAGCCTGGGCGACAGAGAGAGACTCCGTCTCAAAAAAAAAAAAAAAAAAAAAGAAAAGAAAAAAGAAAAAAAAGAAAATGATTCTCAGGAATTGCTTGAACGATGAGAAGGAGGCAGTACAAAGTTCTGCAAAGAGGGAGGAGTAGGGAATTCCAGATTTATGGCAAATATAACAAAGGGTCAGGTGCTTGGACTCAGGCAGGATAACTTGCTCCTTTACTTATTAGTTACTTAACCTGACTTAGAACTTAACTAGCTTAACTTCGGTTTCCTCATTCGTAAAATGGTAATAATAATAATAGGGCTGTTTTGAAAATTAAATCATGTAGGCAAAAAATCATATAAGGCATTATCCAACTCAAACTACGCATTATGTAAATGATAGTAATCCTTGGTGTTAGAGAAAATTTAGAAGAAGAGGATAAACTGGATAGAAATGTACCTATAAATCCTCTACTCATCTCTTGAATTTTTGGGAACTCATTTTGGCGAGAAAAATCACACTTGTTACAAGGAGTTCACAGACCCTAGAATCAAGAGAGCTAAAACTAATTAATACACATACATATATTTAAAATTTTTGAGACAAGGTATCAGTCTGTCACCCAGGCTGGAGTGCAGTGGTGTGATCAAGGCTCGCTGCAGCCTACTGAGCAGCTGAGAGACTACCAGCAAGCACCACCACACCTAGCTAATTTCATTTTATTTTTTATTTTTTGAAGAAATGCGGTTTCACCACGTTGCCCAGGCTGGTCTCGAACTCCTGACTCAAGCAATCCACCTGCCTCTGCCTCCCAAAGGTCTGAGATTACAGGCGTGAGCCACTGCGTCCAGCCCCAAAACTAATTTAATATTGCAGGGCTTCTTTTCTATTTTGAAAGTGTTTCTTTTAAATCAAGTTCTAGATTACCTTTATTTTATACTACTACTTTTTGTCTATTTGAGCATTTTATTTTTCATCATTTGGTTTAAGTCATTACAAAAGGCATTGAAGGTCTGTCTACCTGTCCATGACAGATAAAAGAGATTAGCTCCTGTCTGAAAATGTTTGCAAAGTAGTGTAATTCTCCTAGTCCTTCCTGAAGCTTTCCCAAAGAAGCAAAAATATTCAGACATAAAGCTACCAGGAACTCCAACCTGTTTGATCACTATTCCCTTGCTCACCAACCTAGTCATCTTTCAGCTACTCCATGCATGACTTGTGCTGAGCTATTAGCTCCCACATGAATACAAGCAATTCTTATACCTGCCTAATTCAGATGATCTTTCTTAGGGTTTGAAGTCCCTGGGGATCCGAAGCTGTCCTAGGTATACACTTCTCTCAACCCAGTCCAGCACAAAAGGAGACGACTAACGATGAATGAAATTGAGAAATCAGCCCACACTGGTAATCTTGGAGGAATTTGGTATTCTTCGTGAAATAAAAGAGGCGCAAAGGGGCCCTGGATTAGGGTCCGGAGAGAGGGGTTTTATCCCAGCACTGCCCCTAACCAGCTGAAAGGTAGGTGGTCCAATCACATCAGCTCTCCGAGACTCAGTTTCCCCATCTATAAAACAAGGAGTAGGCTTGACGGTCCCTGTCTCACTATAATTTCCCAATCGAGGTTCAGGGAGAAATCCACAAAACTAATAAAACTTCTTCACGGACTGCTAAATGTGAACTCACTGGTCAAGGCTGCAAGATTTGCTCTTTGGGTCAAGGCAGTAGGGGCGGCCACAAGGAACCAATCTCAGTTAAGTTATTAATGCACTTTGCCCAGACTAGTAACTCTCCCCTGACGTTCCGCATTTCCCTTGCTTCTCCCGGAAACGTGGGGCGCCCAGGAATCCTAAACTTCCAATCCCTAAGCTTCCAAACCCCGCCCCTGGGAGGGGAGGGGGCGCGGAGCCGGGCCTAGTCGCGCGCCTGCGTACTGCGGTCAGAGGGCCGAGGCCTGGGGGCGAGCTGGGGTCGTGCAGTACAGCCTCTTTCCGGCAAATCACGCGAGATTTCGTTCACCCGGGCTCCACAGGGTCAGTGACGCGCGAGCGGCTCCCGCGACTGTGGCTCCCGAAGCTGCTTCGGGCCCCAGCGGTGAGGAAGAAGACTCTCAACCAGGGTGACTTCTAGGCGTCCTCCCGGAGCTACCGGGGACACTGGCGTTATTGCCCGCAACACTGAGATAGGGAATGCTCGAGAAACAGAAGCAGGTTTTGGGGTTTTTTTTGAATTACTGGGGGAAAGCAACCTGAGGTTTTGACGTAATTGTGTTTGAGGTGCCTCTGAAACTTTCATTTAACACAGATTTGTTGAGCACGTACCATGCGCCGGGCATAGGGGATTGGACTCACATTTTTTTGTGTGTGTGACGGAGTCTCGCTCTGTCTGTCGCCCAGGTTGGAGTGCAGTGGCGCGATCTCGGCTCACTGCAGCCTCCATCTCTCGGGTTCAAGCGATTCTCCTGCCTCAGCCTCCCGAGTAGCTGGGATTACTACTGCGCCCGGATAATTTTTTGTATTTTTGGTAGAGACGAGATTTCACCGTGTTAGCCAGGATGGTCTTGATCTCCTGACCTCGTGATCTGCCTGCCTCGGCCTCTCAGAGTGCTGGGATTACAGGCGTGAGCCATCGCGCCCGGCCTGGATTCACATCATTGAACAAAGCAGACGAGTCCTTATCCTCTTAGCGCTGACGAGCTGGGCAGTTAGTTTGAAATTCTGGGCTAGAGACGCAAATTATTATTAATTTCCATATAAAGTGGTTGGTAGGAGGAGCCACAGGGCTCAGGGAGGTCACTGAGAAAGGGAAGAGCAAGATAGGAATCTCCACATGCAAGACTTCGGGAGGGGAAGGGGGAGACCAGAAAACCGGAAGGGGAGGAGAAGACTGGCAGAGAGATCCAGAAAGACACGTGGTTTGTTTGTTTGTTTTTTGAGACAAAGTCTCGCTCTGTTGCCCAGGCTGGAGTGTCCTGGCTGGATCTCGGCTCACTGCAGCCTCAGTCTCCTGGGTTCAGGCAGTTCTCCAGCTTCAGCCTCCTGTGTAGCTGGGACTATAGGCGCCCACCACCACGCTTAATTTTTGTATTTTTAGTAGAGCGGGGTTTTCCCATGTTGGCCAGACTGGTCTCGAATTCCTGGCCTCAAGTGAGCCTCCCACCTCAGCCTCCCAAAGTGCTGGAATTACAGGTGTGAGCCACGGCTCTGGGCCCAGAAAGATACGTTTTATAACAAGGCGTGGTCAACAGGGTTGCTAGTGGCAGAATAATCGCACGAAATAAGGGTATTAAAAGGTATTAGGAAGCTCATGTGATGGAAATAGCAGGTGCCGTGTTGGAGTATGGGTTCTAGCGTTATTACAAGTTGGGCGACTCTGGGCGAATTATTCTCTTTCTGTACCTCTTTTTTCTTCTCTTTTTTCTTTTTTTTTGAGATGGAGTTTCGCTCTTGTCGCCCATGCTGGAGTGCAATGGCGTGATCTCGGCTCACTGCAACCTCCACCTCCCGGTTTAAAGCGATTCCCCAGCCTCAGCCTCCAGAGTAGCTGGGATTACAGGCGCCCGCCACCACGCCGGGCTGATTTTTGTATTTTTAGTAGAGGTGGGGTTTCGCCGTTTTGTCGGAGCTGGTCTCAAACTCCTGACCTCAAGTGATCTGCCCACCTCAGCTTCCCAAAGTGCTGGGATTACAGGCCTGAGCCACCATACCCGGCCCCTTTTCTCATCTATAAAATTGAGAGGATGATATTACCAACCTCACAGTTTTTTTGGGGTGAGGGTGGGGGAGGTGGTTTAAACAGGCTAGTGAATGAGTCTGTGCTCAGTTCCTGGCATTTAGGAATATTAAGGAAACAGGTTGAGAGAAGGGACTTTTTCCAAGTTCCCACCTGGTTAGAACTAGGAGAAGTACTCTGTTCTTCCTACTTAAATGACCTTTCCCTTTTACCAGGCTGCAAGGTAAACACTCAACACACTCTATCATCACATCGGAGCAAATTCGTCTGTTATTATTTTGGAATATTAGCACCAAGTAGGAATAGTATCCCAGGCAAATAGGATTTGCTGAGTTTTTTTCCCCTACTTGGGATGAATTTAACAATCTACCCTTCTTTCAGATCTTGGAACTTGATGTGTCTTATTTTAGCTGTTAATTTTATGACTAAATCTAGGTATCTATATTTTATTTATTTTTATTATTTATTTATTTTTTTGAGACAAAGTTTCGCTCT